>NC_000012.12:44429824-44581340 GCF_000001405.40 Homo sapiens
TGCTAGAATGGTGGGTATGAAAGACTGATTAGAATGAGTTTTAGAAAGAATAAGAGAGGAGGAAGTGGAAAGAGTGAGCTCCTACAGCTCTTTGGTGGAGCTTTGCTATAATAAAGAGCAGAGACTGAGATGTAGATAAAAGCAAGATCATGGAAATAATTTTTATAATGGGAATTATTAATGTAAGGTGTATGTCAATAGCCATGATTTAGTGGAGAGTGAAAGATAAGGGATAATTGCAGGGTGAGGTTCTTGAAGAGGTGAGAGAGCAAAGTATTCAGGACACAGGTAGAGAGAGTGGCCTCAGAGCCATAGGTGCAGGTGGGAAGGTAGGATTTAGATCTAGCAAAGTGGTAGATGGGATGTGAGCTTGTGGAAGTTCTCACTGGTTCAATTTTTTTTTTTTCAGTGAAGGAGGAAACAGGATCATCAGCTAAGAATAGGGAAAAAGATGCTAGAGGTCTGACATACATTGTGACATAGTTGTTCCAGAGGATAGGAGGAAGGCTATACCAGTGAAATGCTATCGGATTGGCAGGCAACACAGAGGTAAGTTTGGGATTTAGAGAGAGAAAAGTTAAGATCGTTTTTGTCTTTTTCTCCAAACATGAAATAAACTGTGTGAGTGTAGGTTGAGAATAGGCTGTGAGTTTGAGTTAAACTGGGTTTTGCCAGACAAATATGATTCAGGAAGAGAAAGGCATAGAAGATGAACGTATATGAAAACAACAATTAAAGTGATAAGATATTGAGAATAAGTAGATAAGAAGGAAAGAGAAGACATTTGAAAAATTGAGAGATAATGTCAAGGCGATCATTTGATTGTATTTGTCTCTGTGAGTATGGTCAAAGAAGTTTGAAATTTAGATAATAAACTGATTAATAGGAGGTTGTAATCAGAGACAAGAAAGGCTAGAATTCATATCATGGAGGTTGTCTGGTTATCAATACTAGTGTGTCCTAGGGTTTGCTCTGAGAGAAGGCATTCTTTCAGTATTGATGAAGGTGAAATTATTGCTGAGGAGGTTAAGGGGCTGAGAGACCGAGATATTGGAGGGATCATCTATATAGACATTGAAATCACCAGAGTTAGGACAAAAGGAAGGAAAGTCTCCAGTTTGGGAACTTACTGGTGTGTGTGTGTGTGTGTGTGTATATATATAGATATTATATGTATTATATATTATACACGTGCCATGGCACGTGTATACCTACGTGACAAACCTGCACATTCTGCACATGTATCCCAGAACTTAAAGTACATATATTATACATATATGGCACGTGCATACCTTCATAACAAACCTGCACATACCTATGTAACAAAACTGCACATTCTGCACATGTATCCCAGAACTTAAAGTACATATATATGTATACATAATGTATATATGTATAATATATAATACATATAAAATATATATACAGTATTAATTTCCTATTACTGCTGCAACAAATAACCACAAACTTAGTGACTTAAAGCAAAGCATACTTATTATTTTAGAGCTCTGTTGGCTAGGGTTCAATATGGATGTCACTGGGTTAAAATTGGGGTGTCAGTAGACATATGTTTCTGGAGCTCTGGGGGAGTATTTGTTTCCTTGCTTTTTTCAGTTTGTAGAGGCCTCCTGCATTCATTGGCTCATGCTTCGTACTTCTTTTACAAAGCCAGCAACATTTCACCTTTCTTGTCACACTTCTGTAGTCAAATTTCCCACTGACCATACTTGGGAAAGTTTCTATGCCTGTAAGAACTCATATGATAAGAATAATCCCACACAGATAATCGAACATAATCTCCCCATCTCCAGGTTCATGATTTAGTCACATTTGCAAAGTCCCTTTGTCACATAACATAGCACATTCGTAGGTTCCTGGAAATAGGCTGTGGACTTCTTTTGGGGGGGTGCATTATTCATCCCACCACACCTGGCTGAGGTGCCCCGAGCGGCGCAGTCTCTTAGAGATTGTCCTGATTGCCGTGCATCTCTTCTTTCTAATTATTATTTAGCATTCCTTTTGCATGGTCCCAATCACTCTATCATTATATTATCCATTTAAATTTAACTATACGAGGAGCAGAATTACTGGCATGTAACCAATGTCTCTCACTTCCTCCTACTGCTGATAGTGAAGTTTCTGTTACGTTTCATTTAGTATGTCTTTCTCATAATATGAGTGTTTTTCTCAGACATAATTTCTCATAAGTGAGTTTTGCTCAGACAAGATAGTAGCATAGACATTATGTGAATTCTTGCACGTTCTCAAATATCTTTCATCCTAACTGATAAAGAATATTATCCCAAGATATGAGATTCTTAGGCTGCAGTTCTTTTTTTCCATCAGTCTGTAGGGTTTTTTTCGAGTGTCTAGTTTTTATTGTCACTACTGAAAGCTCTGATACAAAACTGTTTTTCCTTTGTAAGTCATTTTTATTCCTCCTGGTAATTTGTAAGTGTTCTTCCTCTTATTCTTAGAGCTCAGAAATGTTATCTAGATACGCCTAGTTTTGTGTCTTTCTTTTTAATTTATTTCTCTCTGGATTCCAGCAAACCCTCTAATTTGCAGATTCAGATTCCAGTTATCCTTTAACTTAGATAAATGTCCTTCCCTTTACAAAAATTATAGCCCCTCTTACATATATTCTTTTTACTTCTTTTGGAATTCTCATTATTTGTAAGTTATGCCAATTAGATCTGCCTCCTAAGCTTTTTACATATTCCGTGATGGTTTTATCTGTTTGTATTTTTTTCTCTATATTTTCAAATATTTCTTCCATTTAATCATTTGGACTTCAAATTTGAGCCTTAATAGCGGTAATTATTTTTAAAAGTGAATTTATTAAATGTTTTAGGTTGAAGATCAGTCCTTTGAGGAGTTATAATTGAATGTTTTTAAAGACACTTGGGTTCCCTCAGAGGATTATTCTAGTTTTTTGCCCACACTTAGATTTATCACTGGGGCTCAAAATGTGCTTCTGATACTCCTGGAACATCAGCATTCCCTTGGGTGCTGGTGAAGATATAGCAGTTTCTGTTCTTGTGGGCTAATTTGGAAAATTGTCAGTTCCCCACTGGGACTCCAGGAAAAAACTCTGCTTTGCTGCCTATCAAGGTATAAAGCCAACTGGTCTCCCCACTTCAGAGAAAGACCGTGCTCAGCCCAGTACGGAACTCTCCTGAAATGCCTTAGAAGACAAGGATGCCAGCAGGTCCTCAAAGAACAGTCAAGCAGAATGGTACCACTGTTGCTTTGTTCTGTGTTGTTTTGTCTTTTAAAGAATCTATGGATATCTATGGGCCAAACTCAATCCAGGATCCAAAAGCCTCACTTTCTCCCTCTAAAATGGGAAAAAGATTTCTGATAGAAGAAAATGATGTATGCCAAATGCAAAAATAAAAGTAAATGCTGTGAGAAAAGTATTGGTAGTTGTAATTTCTCTTCTTATTCTCAGATTAAAATGTTAAAAACATTTAATCTTCTAGCTTGAGACAGACAAATTTATACAAGTTCATGTCTATTAATTTATTTAATTTCCATAAAACAGACTTAAAGCAAGTATTATTCTTTGTAGATAAGAAAAATGTTGCTCAGAGAACTCAGTAAACTTTTACAAAATCCCCAAAAGTTGTAGGACCAGGATTCAAATCCAGGCCTTTGAACTCTAGTTCCAATGTGCTTTCCACTATTCCACAGAATTGCCCTTACAATGTGATATTATGTCCTCAGGCTTTACAGAGTATCAATTCAAGAGCCATCCATGCTCACAGCATTATTTATCTATTGAAACTATAGATTCAGGGGTGTATGTGCAGGTTTGTTACATGGGTATATTGTACAATGCTGGGTTTGGCCTTTAGGGAACCCTTCATCCAAATAGTGAAGGTATTATCCAATAGGTAGTTTTTCAACCCTTGCCCCCATCCTTTCCTCCCTCTCAACTTTTGGAGTCCCAGTGTCTAGTGTTTCCATCTTTATATCCACGTGTGTACCCAGTGTTTAGCTCTCACTTATAAGTGAGAACATGTGGTATTTCATTTTCTGTTTCTGTGTTATTTCACTTAGGATAATGGCCTCCAGCTGCAGTAATGTTGCTGCAAACTAGCAGCACTTAAGCATCTTTTGAAAGTCATAGCATCTTATTTAATGACTCATACAATAAATTCATGTTTGGATTTAGTTTATGAAAGAAGTTTCTCTACTAACAAATTTGAATGTTTTCTTCTGCCAGAAAGTCAATGCTTCATAACTCACATCTTCTTTCTTTTCTTTACTGCCAGGAAATTTAATTCAGCTAAATTTAAGACCTAATTACGGTAATCAAATCATCTTGGGTAACTGATAACACTGAATTCCTTTACTTCTGAAATGTAAGGGATTGTCTTCTTTTTATAACTTTTTTTCTTGAAAGTATCAACAAATAATTTTGAATAAAATAGTATAAATTGACAATAAATAAAAATGAGTTGCTTTGTTCTGCACTTTTTAACAGGTATTAAGGGGTTCTGAATCTAGAAACAACTTACCGGGGATGGGTAAGAAGAAAGGCAGAGAGTTAACCTGCTCTCCTTAAGCAATTCAGGAGAATTTGGAAGGTTAGGAAGGATGTCTTTTGGGGAGGAGAGACAAAGGATAGGAGATTGAAAGAAAGAGAAAGCAGTATACCAATGCTGGGCATAGAGAGCTCACACAGAAGAGACGACTGGAGAAGATCCCTCAGGAGATCTCGATGCAGAGCCCAGGGACTGATGTGCATTGTGCACTCTCAACTGACTCCTGTGATTCTCCCTAAGCTCCTGTCCCTCGCCTTTTACTACTGGTCACATCAAAACAGCTCCAGTACAGCTACCTCCCCTAGCATTCATCTAGAATGTGGAAACTCATGCCTTCTTGCTCCCTCATGCCTCCTTGCTTTTGAATCCCTGTTAAGGCAGGCTGGTTGAACCTCCTTTCTACCTTTAGGCTTCTCTAAAAATAAAGAATTCAGCAAAATAATGTATGTCCCCAATATCAGACGATGGTTGATATAGTTTGGATGTTCCCTCCAAATCTCATATTGAAATGTGATCCCTAATATTGGAGGTGAGGCATGGTAGGGGGTGTTTGGGTCATGAAACAGATCCTTCATGAATGACTTGGTGCCCTCCCCATGCTAATGAGTTGCCATGAGATCTGATTGTTAAAGAGTCTGACACCTCTCTCATCTCTCTCTTGCTTCTTCTCTCACCATGTGACATGCCTGCTCCCCTCTTCACCTTCTGCCTTGAGTGAAAGCTCCCTGAGGCCTCATCAGAAGCCAAGATGCTGGCACCATGCTTGTACCATAAACCTGTACCTGAGAGAAGTGCATAGACCTATAGAAGTAAAGTCAAAAGACCCTACCCAACCTTCTCTATAGTCACATCTACTAGGGATGCTGTGTAGAAAATGGAATGTTTATACACTGCTGGTGGGAATGTAAATTAGTTCAGCCACTGTGGAAAGCAATCTGGAGATTTCTCAAAGAACTTAAAACAGAACTACCATTTGCCCAGCAATCCCATTACTGGGTATATATCCAAAAGAAAACCAGTCAGTCTACCAGAAAGACACATGCACTTGCATGCTCATTGCAGCACTATTCACAATAGCAAAGACATGGAATCAACCTAGGTGCCCATCAGTGGTGGATTGGGCAAAGAAAACATGGTACATATACACCATGGAATACTATGCAGCCACCAAAAAGAACAAATTCATGTCCTTTGCAGCAACATGGATGTAGCTAGAGGCCATTATCCTAAGCCAATTAGCACAGGATCAGAAAACCAAATACCACATGTTCTCACTTATAAGAAGTGGACGCTAAACAATGGATACTCATGGATATAAGGATGATAGCAATAGACACTGGGAACTACTAGAGTGAGGAGGCAGGAAGGGGGGCAAGGTTGGAAAACTAACTGTTGGGTACTATGCTAGTACCTGGGTAACAGGATCATTTATACCCTAAATCTCAGCATCATGCAATATATCCAGGTAACAAATCTGCACATATACCCCCGAATCTAAAATATAAGCTGAAAAAAAATAAAATGCCATAGCTTAAAAATAATAAAAAGAAAAATAACTACAAGAGTATAATTGTAACATTTGTAACACAAATAAATGATAGATTCTAGAAGTGATGACTATCCCATTTTCCCAATGTGATTATTGCACATTATATTCTTATATCAAAATATCTCATGTACCCCACAAATTTATATGCTTACCATGTACCCATAAAAGTTAAAAATAAAGATAAATGAAAAATGTAAGAAAAATTGTTGAATTCCTCAGATATTCTTTAGAAGATGCAAAACATTCTGTAAATGATTATTAAAACACTTCAATGTCTGCACCCCTAAAGAAGAAGAGTTTAGTGGGAAGGGGTGTGTACATGATTAAAATGAAAACGCTCTAGAAATTTTAAAAAAAAAAGGCAATATGGAACTGTAGATGGCATTCTTCTTGGGAAGGTGTGAGTGGGCAGTGAAACCAAGAAGTAAAGTCTGGTTCTTCTTGGATTTGCTTATTCCCAGCAGTGTTCATTTGAATGATATTCCAGATCATGACTATTTTTACTATTTCTCTGTAGGAGTCATGATTTTTAATAAAGATGCATCCTACTATAATAAGTAGTATAAAAAATACAGAGTTTTTGTTCAGGTAATTTTCCACTAGTATGTTCTAAAAAGTAGCAATAGCCATAATCCCATAAGAATATATGTATGAATTAATTATGTTCAAGGGCACAAAAGTGGCTTCCAGCTCTGAATAAATCAACTTGCCACCATTTCTTTCTCTAAAGGTCAGCAAAACAAAGTAGGTTACAGTTTGCTATGATTTGAATGTGGCTTGTCCCCACTAAAAGTCATGTTGAAAGTCTATTCCCAGTGTGGCAGTGTTGGGAGGTGTGGTTGTTTGGGTTTGGGGGGGCCGATGCCTCATGAATAGATTAGCATCATCTCTCAGAAGTGAGTGGGTTATTACTCTTTCAGGAATTGATTAATTCTGGTGAGAACTGGTTGTTATAAAGTGACGTTCCCCCTTGTGTTTGGTCCTTTTTCATACAGGTCACTTCCCCTTTGACCTTTGGTCATGTTATGATGCAACAGGAAAGCCTTCACCGGAGGTCCAGCAGATGCTGACACCATGCTCTTCGATTTTCCAGCCACCAGAATCGTGAGGCAAATGAACTCATTTCTTTATAAATTACCCAGTCTCAGGTATTCTGTTATAGCAACACAAATGGACTAAAACACAGTCCCTACTACCTTTGATAGGTATTTAAAATGAAAAAAAAAATCCCACTATACTTGTACCTTTCAGTATATAGAAATTGTTCAGACTAGTTCAAACACCACCATCTGGCTTTAGAGGTGATTAACAGCTTTCTTCCAGTTACTTAACCAGCCTTAACATTTATTGAGCACGTTCAAAGATAGAAAGCTCTTATGGAATTAAACTTGGCGGAAAAGGATGGTTATAGATACACTCACAGCACATTCAGTAAGACTTTAAGGAGCCACCGTGACAGATCTGACTTCAGGAAGTTCTGCCAAACTGTCAGTTGCTGCTTGTAAACTGTGCAGCTTGGAACAAGAAAAACATGTATTACCTTGTCAGGAGGATGCAAAACTTGACTGAAACTCTTCTGGGCTTATCCATCTCACCTGATGTTAAAAATGAGCAATTGATTTCCCTCATACCATACAATCTGTTGAGGAAACTAGCAAAGGTACAATCTCAGGAAGAAGTAGGCCAATGTTACTATGTTATAGAAATGAGATGTTGGAAAAGTTTTGACAACACATAGAACTAATTAGAAAGCACCACTCAAAAAACAAAGCAAGTTACCATTATATAAAACATTTAAAGGTTGGTGGCCCAAAACTTATCTCAGGTTGTTCTGTCATTAATTGCAATGCTGGACTGGCATGCTAACTAGTAATAGTGCCTTCTTCTCTGCAAATAAATGATGTCTTTGAAAATATATTCTTCCAGAAAATCACTAAAGACAGATCATTTCAGAGATTAGAAAAGAAGCAGTACCATGATGCAAAAAAAAAAAAAAAAAAAAGTGAATAGGAAGCAACTTTTGGGTCTAAAATGTCACAATGAAAGATTTATCTTTCTATGTTTCTAAATCGGAAAACTAAGCCTTTTGTTCACTAAGGAGCAAGTAAAACTGTGAGAGGCCCCAGTGCTGAGGAGAGTGGCTGGTACATGGTGGAAAGTCAATAAATTATTCTGCAGTGAAGAAATAAATTGTTTTTTTGTTGTTTTTGATTTGTCAGATCACAATATTTATTGCAATACATCTGTTTACAGTTCACAAATAGGCAACTTTTATTAATTGGCATGAATTTAAAAGCTTATAGTGCAATGGATACAATCTCTTCTAGAGGACGAGGGTGACGATTTTCAAATTCCAGAAGAGAAACCACAGTATAGACTATATTTCTCTCATGGCTAGCTCATTGGACTGTTCTGAAAAAAATCCTTATTGTGTTATAAAGACCTTAAAACCCTTGAAAGTTATGTTTTCTTCGGGTTTATCTGGTACATAAGGGTATCTTTACAAATGCTTTCTTACAAAATCATTAGTCCTACAGGCAAGTGTATTTAACCCATTAATTTAGCATTGTCCCATCCTCCTTGGCCCTCTTAATCATGAATGAGGAGTATTATACTGAGGTGGATAAAAGCATGAACTATGTTTTCAGATTGCTGGGCTTGAACGTTGGCTTTGCCCACTTAATAGCTATGATATCTCATGAAGATCATTTTAGTTGGTTGTGCTTCAGTTTTACTATCTGTACCATGGGCCTAATGATAGCACTGCTATAAGAAATAAATTAGTAAATTTAACTTGTTAATTAACTTGGTTAATACACGTGAAGCATCTAGAAAGTAGAATATAGTAAGCACTACATAAATATTAACTATTTTATTATTCGTTATTATTTTAACACAGAAAATAATTTGTTTCTCACAGGCACAGATAATCATAAAAGTGAAATAAACAATGGGAAGGCAAATCCAAATGTAATATGTTAATTCATGATCTGTTACTTGATTTTGGTCAGTTCCATCTTTTGGTTTCCATATGGAAATTACCAGTTTTGAAGTCTCTGAGACTGATTCTGGATAAGAACTTATTTTGAAGATAATTTTATTATATTCCAGAATGATCAATACTGCTATCTTTATGAGGTCATTTGTGTCAATGGTTTATCAATTTTTTGAATTTATAAGGAGTTGCTTTTACTTTCCTCGATTATAGGAAATGGTAAACGGTACATCCAATTGCCCAGAAATGAGCTTGATTCCATCCTCTTCTCATCTTCCACATCAAATCTGTAAGTTCTTATAGTTCTATGTTTCTGATTCATCCACATTCCTGTACCTCCAGAGCCACTATCCTAGTCCAAGCTGACATTATCCCTTTCTCCTTTATCTTAAGCCAAATCTGCCTTCTATGCTCTTTAGATATTTGGGGCTTTTGCATTTGCTGTTCCTGTGTCTGAAATGATTTTAATCTAAGCATCACACAAGATTGCTACTTTCTCAGCTCTCATCTCTCAGCTCAGCTAGCTCTTCCTCAGAGAGTTCTCTGTTATCCTAAAGTTTCTCATCTACCCCAGTACTCTCTATTACATCACCCTATTTATTTCTGCTATGGACTGAATTGTGTCCTCTCAAAATGCATATGTTAAAGGTCTAACCTCTAATGTGATAGTATTTGGAGATGGGGTATTTGGTAGGTAATTATATTGAGATGAGGGAACGAGGGTAGCAACTTCATGTTGGAATCAGTGTCCTTATAGTCAGAGACTATAGAGCTTGTTCTCTCTCTACTATGTGAGGACACAGAGGGAAATACTCATCTGCAAGCCAGGAAGACAGACCTCACCAGAACTGAACTCTAGCAGAAATTTATCTTGGATTTTCCAGTCTCTAGAACTATGAGAAATAAATTTATCTTGTTTAAGCCACCCAGTCTGTGGTATTTTGTTATGGCAGCCCAAGCCAACACAATTTCCTGTATAGCATGTAGTGCAATCTGGATTGCTCTTATTTCTTTATTTAGCTCTGTAAGAGCCAGGACTTCACCATCTTGTTTTAATTCTTAAGGGCCAGGACGTTGTCATCTTGTTCATTGCCATAACCCAGAAACTGGAACACTGACTGACAATGTAGAGTAGATACTCACTAGCAATTTCTGAATAAATGAGCAATGATGCACAGATGAGATACTTTTTCCAGATGTGATGTTTTCTTTAAAGAACATTACCTGAGGGATGAAACGCTGAAGTTTTAGTAGAAACTCAGTTTATAGTCCACTGATTGAATCACAGATCCCACTCCATCTCATTTCTAAGCAAAAATAAATATACCTTCTCAGACAACTAGTTGCATATTTTTCTTTAAAAAATACCATGAAGTATAGAATCTATGTGTCACTGCCAATACTTTATGGCTAGGATATTATTCTTAAAGCAGGAGAACTCCATTTGGCAACATATGTCTCTTTTATTTCACTTGAATTCAGACTTGACTAAATACTTCTAGAAGACTAATAATGGAAATGGGTATGCCACCAGCTTATTTGCTTTAGGGACTGAGAGTGTGGACCTGGGGTGGGTGAAGTTAATCTAAAGAATAAAGGACTGAGGTTCATAAGTTTGAACAAAGGGAAATGGACCATTTTAGGGGGCAAACTAATTACAAAAGGGAAGAGCAATTTTGGATGGAACACAAAGTTTCTTACCCCTGTCCCTGAAAGGAGAAGGGACTACATCAAAAAATCCAAAGGCACCCTAAAGAGCTATTTTACTGTGATCTGTGGAGACAGCTGGGGTAGAAGCAACTCTTCTCTGTAGTCTGGGAGGAGTGAAGACCACAGGACAGCAAACGAGGGTTTCCAATTTGCCATTCCTGTTGGAGCACAGTGTGGACCCAGAGTCCCAGCAGCAAACCAGAACAATGACATCTGGAATGGAGATACTACAGGGGGGGACATCTTATCTTTGTGACTTTATTCACCTCTGGCTTCTATGGTAGCAAGTCATTATGTCAGTGGAGAAAAGGACATGTCAGCCAAGAAATATCCCCCCAAAGACTCCTGAAATTTTATGGGTTTAATTAACGTGATCTGCTAAGAAAGGAATTGATTCTATTGTTGAAATTTTAATTTTTAGTTCCAGGCTGGTGTACTAGGTCATAGGCATTGCATCCTTAATATATAATTTCAGTGTTCATTGGGACTTTTGTCCTTAGTATTAGCAATAAATGCTGCTTAATGAATCAGCTCTGAATTTTGCCTCATATGATGACTACTCTAACAATATTCATACAGTTCTTTACAGTGTACACAACCAAACCATTTCAGCAACTCAATAATGAGAGTAAAGTTTGGGTCCTAGGGAAGGAGCTCAGTGAACTCTGAGGGAAGTCATGTACTTTCACTTTAATTCTTCATTCTTCTTAGTCAGACTGAGAAATTCAGTGCTTAAGGGCAAAGCTTCTCACAGTGCTTAACATGTACAAATAATTTCGCTCTTACCTTTCCCCTACTGTGGTAGGGTACCATTAAAGCCCAAGAGAAAGGAAAGAAAAATTCAATATGATACAGCCAGCACTGATGGGACCCTTTCTTCTCCCTTTCTATCCAGGCCTGGCCCCTGAACAACCTTGAGAAAACTGCAACTAGGTTAGGAGGACTCACATCAAAAGGAGCCTCTGTCCAGGCTGTCTCATCCTAATTGTAAAATATTAAAATAACCTGCTCGTGATATTCATGCATTACAAAGAGTGTTCTACAAAAGATTTTTAAAACCTCACATTAAAAAAATAATATATATATATATTCACTAATTAAAAAGAAGGTGAAAAATATTACATGGTTTTTTATCCAAGGAGGAGGAGTATAACACCTAAATCCACAATTTTCTCCATTTTCTGTTAGGACTTCCCATTTCACAGATGAGAAAATTAAAGATCTAAGAGATTTAATGACAAATAGGTAGTAAAACCAAACCTCCATCTCCAGAATTGTCTTCCTCATTTTTTTTTTTTTTTTGTCAATTTTGAAACTTCAAGAGGACTCTTGATACATAGCATTGACTCAGGCTCCTTTACTCAAATGAATTTTGTGCATTAAGTTGCTTTCCTCTGAATTTATAATTCGTTTTTACATTTTTTGAATGAAACTTCAGAGTATCAACTGATCTTTAAGTTCTGCTAGTCTATAAACGTGTTCTTATTTCTGCAGCAGGGATTTCATCTTTAGTACAATCTATGTCTTCTGCTGACATTCTGATTCATCTAGAAAACTTTGGTATGGCCCCAACTCAAGTCTCTTTTCACAGGGACTGAGAAGCCTCCTGGAAAAAGAGTTCACCTAAAGGGAAGAAGGAACGAGGAATGCATATTTATAACAAAGTCTTTGTCATTGAAAGGGAATAAGAAATTTCAGCATAACATAGTGGCCATCACTCAAATACATGTCTCACCCAGATGCATGTCTAGAATGAGAAAAATTTAACTAAAATAGAAAGAGCAGTTTTACACAAAAGCTCTGAAAGTGTTGGTGTAGAGGCAGTGCTGCTTGGTGATCTCTCGGACAAATTATAACACAAAGGGAAGAAAGGCATGCTACCTTTCCCCATTTAACCACTGTGAGACTTGAGCACATATTCATTGATGCCTGGGGGAGCAGTGGGAGAGCCTACTAGAAGATTATGGTGCCCAAGGTAATCGTTGAAAGCTAATGGAGCAATAGCAGAGTCCCAAAAGGGCATAACTGTTTATGAGAACACATTAGGAACCCTTTTGGGTTTTGTGGAAATACTTGGTGGTGAACATTGCAAAGCCTTATATCAGAAACTCAGATTGGATTTTACCCTTCTTCAGCTTCTGTCAATTGAATGTGTAGGACTACAGAGGGTAGGATAGGGATGAGGCAGGAATAAGTTGGCAACATATTCCCATGCTCCAATATAGCAAGGTTATTTAATTGTAATGTAATTGTAATTGATGTCAGTATAATATATGTAGCAGCCTACATCCAGTAATTGTCAATGCAATTTCAGCATTCTGTCATATATTCCAGTTCCTGTGCCCATTTCTACTAGGGCTTTAGTCAATTGCAGAGAGAGGACAAAACGTAAATGTAACAGTAAAGCAGGTAGGAGCCTCATTCAAAACATTTCATCTTCAGCTAATCTGTGACAAAGTAAATCAGTCTCTCTCTCTCTCTTTCTATATATATATATATTTTTTTCTCTGCCTAAGGAATAAGGAGGTAGAGTATTTCTGGTGTACGTATATATGTTATTTGTGTAAAAACTACATGTATACATATATTCAACATTTTATATTTTATTGTATAGGTACATGTTTACATATATTTTACTTATATGTACATACATACATATATATATTAGTAGGTATTTTTGCTTCATATGCCTTATTTTCTTTATCAGCTCTTCAGTAGTGACTGTATTTGATTTTTCATAAATATTTCCATGGAATATTGTTGATTTTTCTTCTTAAATGGATGAGCCACTTTTGTCCAAGGTTAATGGAGGACGTGTTGTCCTACTGGTCGTTTTTTAAAATTCATAAATCTATCCAGTTAGAAAATTTTAATGTTTTCAGAAAGGTTACAGGAAGAGATGTAGAGATCATGTGCTTATTAAAGAAAATTGCTTTAGACATTTTAAAAATGAAAAATGCTATTTCTGGGCATTTACACAACTACAAATGTAAAATTATAATGGGCAAGGTGACTCTGGTTCAACATAGGTACATTAACCAAAATCACAAGTCACAGCTACATCCAGATTGCGTGACCCTTTTGTCTAGTTTCATGGAAAAAACATTAGATAAGGACCCAGGTCTTATAGGAAATATAAAAAGTAGTCTTGACCTAGGGCCAAAAAGGACATTTGCAGGCAAAATTAGTGAGTGAGAAGACCACTTAAAATATTCCGAGTACTGCAGATTGTATTTCAGAGGACTCCGTGTTTGGAGAGCAAAACTGGTGGGGGGATCTAAGTTTACTTGATGTGGAGAGAGGCTGGTATTCTCTTAGCTTTAGAAAACAGACAAACAGAATATTTGCACATAGTTCAGGTTCTGCCCTATGCCTGTGTATCAAAACCATAAAACATTTCATAGATATTAATATTTTACTCTAATTTTATGGCACATAAAATTGGTCAATATCGTGAGTGTGTTATAATAATAGCAATTCCATTACTTACTAATTGTTGATCTTAAGTCTAATACTTTGCTTTTCTTAGACTTAGTTTCCCATCTGTAAAAGGGAAAAAATAGTTTTTTTTGTAAACATCTTAGAATTGTGAGGATTAAAAGAGAAAATATTCATGCAAGTTCTATATAAATGTAAAGTATCTTTGATGAACATTACATTTAACAAACACTTGATCAGTGTGTCTCCATGTACAAATAACATAAAGATCCAGAAACTTCTTGCAAAGTAGCAGTAAAAAAGGAAGGGATAGAGGGAGGGAGGGAAGAGAAAAGAGAAGGGAAAGAATAAATCAACTAATCTATTTAAGACACATTTTCTCTAAAAAAAAAAAAAAAACCCTGAATTTAGTCTTATTGACTCTTGTGAATAGACATCATGCTCTCCACTGATGAGCTCCTATTAGAAGTACTAAACCAAACAAAATGTAAGAAAACACTACTAATTCACTTGCCATAGGCTTAGAATTTGTAAAAGCAGAGAAATACTGTTTTATAGTCATGTTTTACTATCCATGAATATCTATCAGCTAAGAAAATTCACATATGTAAATAAGATTATAGGTAGAAAGAAAGTTTAAAGCTCTTGAAAATAAACTTTTCAAGATGCCCTCAGGCCCTTTAACAATATAATTTGCATATAAATAATTGACACCTAATTATAAATCATTTTGATCTGTTCATCAAAGCAGGTTCCAAAGGACTGCTGGTAAGCAGGGCTTTGTTTGCCTAGTTCCAATTACTGTATTAATTAAAATTTAATTGAACAACCAAGCTTAATTAATTAATTAAATAACATAATAGAAAAGGAACAGTAAAAACAGTGCAATTTTACAATTATGACTGCTAGTATCAGATTAGCTTCCCCAGGACATATGAATTACTGCAGTCTTCATGCAGTTGCATTTACTTTCATTTTTTAACCCTTTAATTCTCAAATGTTTCACATTTGTAACCTTTGAACTTCCCATCTCCTAACTCTGTCAAGTGCAGTCTTGACATGTTTGTCTTTAGCTTTCACATCCAAGCTCCAAGGTGGGTTTGTTCAGCCAGCTTATTCATAAATATTTGAACTTCACCAAAGTGTGTAGTTTTGGTTGAATGATTTACAACAGAGACAGAGAAGGTGGTGTGACATTATGACTCATAGTCACAGCTCTGGTTTTAAGACTTAGGAAAATCCCAGCTACTCAGGAAACTGAGGCAGGAGAATCGCTTGAACCAGGGAGTTGGAGGTTGCAGTGAGCCGACATTGTGCCACTGCATTCCAGCCTGGTGACAGAGAGAGACTCCGTCTCAAAAAACAAAAACAAAACAAAAACAAACAAAAAGACTTACGAAAAACTAATATGAGAAGCTTGATTAATTTTCACAGCATTTTGTTAGTCTGCTTAATTTTCGAATTCTCTTTCGTACTTAGAAAATGTGCTTGGCCTAGTAGTTCCTTTCTTTAGGATTGTTAGCAATTCCTGGAAAGGGTCTAGGGAGTAAGTAAGGTTACTGAGTTGGAAGTTTTTCAGTTCTCCCTCAGCCTTTAAATAAAGCCTCTGATCTAGAAAATTGGTGAGAGCAGTGCTGTGTCTTGACTTTGGCCCCATTACAGACAGTTGCTGATTCATCTGAGCAGAACTCTCACTGTACTTTGCTTGGTCATAGTCAGAAGAGAGGTGAGGTAGGAGTCTCATCCTGGGAGTGGACATGCAACACAAAGGGAAAATATTAAAAGAGAAGCTGAGACTCAGGGTCACTGTACCTGTCAGTTTCCTTGCCCACCCCATTCCCAACCAGCACAGCCAAAAACTATCCTCCCAACATGCCAACTCTTTCTCACTCTCTTTCCCGCTTCATTATACATTGAGCAAATGATCACCTCTTGTTACCATGAAGCTTCCATTATTTTTTGACCCACTGCAAATGTGTTTGGGCAGTAGAACAAATAAAACACCTTTCTGATTGTGTTTGGAAAGTTTTTAGAGTAATAGTATATTAAGCAGTTGCCAGGCATGGACACTATAATGGGAGGACAGGAACCATGGCTTTCTTTTTAAATTTTTGCTTCCTGCCTGTAGCATCCATTATCATACCTGGCATACCACAGGGTTCTAATAAATGTTTGGATAAGTAGCAATGGATAAATAATCTTAAAGTCACTGCAGAAACAAGTCTTGTCCTTCGGGTCTGATTTGCCAGGCTTCATTGTTCTATTTCTCTCTGTTTGCTTTTTCACAAGTCCTGTTGTTTTGATAAGTGGGTGCTATAAAAACAATTTAAATTACCACAAGGTTAATTCTTACATTGTATTGTAGTCAAAATGATGCAGATTCGTAGGAAATTAAGACTCACTTGCATGAAAGTTTAAATGTATTCTGTATCAGTCTAAAACTGAGGACGCACTTGGCTGAACTCCGGAGGTATAGAATGTAGTATTTCATTAACATTTCCTGGTAGCTTTCAAAATGTTATCCAGTGCTCAGGCAACAATCCAGGATTCCTGCTATGGCTAATTTAAAATCCGCCAAAGTCAATGGTCATTCTTCTAAAGTTAGAAAAAAAAATCAATAAGTCAGTTCAACATTGTGGTTTTCAAGACTTCAGCATCCAGTAACGATGGACTGCGTAATTTGGAGTAACACTGTCACTGAGGACAACTAGAAAATATGGACAAGAGATAAAAAATCATCCACTTGAGGACATCAGAGAGATAACAGAACAATGAGGAATATCGGGCCAAGATTGGAAAAAGAAAGGGACTCCTACCCTAATGATGTTAACCCAGTAATTGGGGCTGGTTTTGCCCCGGGAATATTTGTTGATCCAGATGAGGCTGCTAAGACTAACTAGAGTTTTCACAACCTTAAAAAGGGTACACGGCTGAACACTGAGTTTGGTAAACCACCTTTATCTTGGATTGGGACTCAAAAGGCTATGCTTCAGGAGTAAGGGTAACCCAGAAGTAAACTAGCCTTCTCCCTAGCTCTAGCCTGGCCCAGATCACCCAGAACAATCTCATCCTGAAATTGGATTAAAATAATCCTTGTTGGCCTGGTGCTGTGGCTCATGCCTGTAATCCCAGCACTTTGGGAGGCTGAGGCATGAGGGTCACCTTAGCTCAGGAGTTTGAGACCACCTTGGGCAACATGGCAAATCCCAGTCTTTACCAAGAAATTTAAAAAAAAAAATTGACAGGCATGGTGGTGCACACCTGTGGTCTCATCTACTCAGGAGGTTTGGGAGGATCGCTTGAGCCTGGGAGGCTGAGGTTGTAGTGAGCCAAAATCATGCCACTGTACTCCAGTCTGAGTGACATAGTGAGAACCCCCGTTAAAAAAAAAAAAAATCCTTGTTTTTTAATGCCCCCCAGGTACCTATAGAAGCAAATAAAAATTCTCCTAGAGGAATATAATATTATTCTATGCCTCAAATTATATCTAGGAATGTTTTTTTCAAACCAAAGTCCTGCACACAGTCAATGATATAACCAAGCCCATGAGGAGATAAGACAACATGAATGAGAACCAGCAGAAAAATATAGACGACAGGAAACATCCAGAAGCTGCAGATATCAAGTGGGAATTATTAGATTTCAAAGTCACTAAAAATAATTTAAAATTAATTTTATTTCAACTAGAATTTATCTAGTACTAGTCTAGATAAATTCAAGGATATAAATACAAATAGGTTATAATCTCTACTTTCAGGAAAATTAGAGTAAAGACATAGAAAATATGTATGCAGTTTTCCTCTTTTATTTATTATGTTTTTATGCAAGGACTGGTAAAATAAAAGAGCAAAGAAAGAAAAAGGTAAGGGAAATTTCTATCCCCATTAGCTTCCGAGCAAGCATGAGAAAGAGGAATTTAGAGGCAAATATC
The DNA here is from genome assembly GCF_000001405.40 of Homo sapiens. NCBI lineage: Eukaryota > Metazoa > Chordata > Mammalia > Primates > Hominidae > Homo > Homo sapiens. The sequence goes on from NC_000012.12 coordinate 44,448,001, forward strand.
ACTATAAGGGTAAATATTAGAAATAGGGAAAATTGACCAAGGTGATGGAAGGAGTGGCTCATCTGAGAAAGTAATGATTGGGCTAAGAACAAAGCATAGGATTTTACTGGTGTTATCTTCTAAATAATAGCTTGAATACATGACTCCTTGACTTCAAACCTGTAGTGACTCTGTATCCACTATATGATAATGTCTGTGTAGCAGGCTTATTAAATTTACTGAATCAGAAGGTACAATCATTTTTCAGCTAGATGTAGAATTAAATTAAATTAATTAATTAAGTCTAAATTAATACTTTAATTTACCATCCAATTTAAAGCTAGGGGTTCCCGCAGCAAGGAAGTGATATGGGAGCATGGTCTGGTTTTCTTTTCTCTGATTCCCCCTCTCAATCTCTTCCCCCTAGCTTTTAGGATCTGAGCTAGAGAAAAAAAAAGACTAAGAAAAAAAGAGGTAGTCATTTAATCAGATGGGGCTGCATCAACTTCTCTCTTAGCCACAAGTGATCTTCCAACAGCTGCATTCAAGTCCTGGCTTCCTTGTGGTGCATATTTGTGAGCTCCTTAGGGGCATTTCCACACTGTACAATTCATGCAGTGGGTGAAGTATTCTCTGGTGAGTCTGTTTTGCACCCTTCCACAGCTCCCATCCCTATGCAACCACTTCTGCCCCGGGAACACAACCCACTGTGTCTTGTCCCTGAGGCACTCTTACCCTGAAGGCAGTTCTTCCTTGGTGACCATCTAGGAGACACACTTGGACACCATAAGGCCGAGAGAGGAAACTGCCCTGTTGCTGCCCTGTTTCTCAGCCTTGCTTCTCCTACTCCTAGTGTAGATCTTGACTCAGCTTCCCACCTTCAGGATTCTCTGGTCAAGAAATACATACAACCCCCAGGTCCATGTGTGTTTCCCAGGGACTCCCTCACTGCCTTCCATTCTTGCAGCTCTACTGGGAAGAACACAAGAGTTTCTACAGCTGAACAAGCACGAACTCAGGAGTGAAATGCTGGCCTTGCCTCTTTGCAGGCGCCCTCAGTTTCTCTGAATGTCTTGTTCTCTCTCTCTCTCTCCCAATTTCTCCCTCTCTCTCTCACCCTTCATTCTAAGTCCTCCCCTCTCCTCTTGACTTAGAAAGAGGAAGGGAAGTAATGTGAAATGCCAAGTATTTTTTCCCCAAGCATAAGATTCACCGCCTCTATTAATCTCCTCTTTAACAAACTGAATTCTTATATAAGCCAGAAGGAGGGGTGAAGAGAAGAGGAAAAAGATGCTTTGGACTGTTCTTGATAAGACTTAATGAGGTGTGTGTTGTACCTCTTAAAAGAAATTGTCCTTAACTTTGGGATTTTAGACAAACTTATAAAGAACAAGAAGAATTGTGTTCAATATCCAGGCACGTTTGATTTCCTAATTATGCCAAAAGACATTCATGGTATGACTCCTGATTGATTACCTCTCATGCCTTTCCCCATACTTGGAACACATTCCAAGTGTTCTCAACTACTTGCAACATCTCAAACATGTCTTGTTATTTCATGCCTCTCCTAAACTCCTTCAAATCTCAGTTGTTCCCCACTTGGTGTTCCAAATACCTGTCCATTTCTCCAAACAAAAGCAAACATCTCTTCTGTGGAAACATTTTTCCTTCATTATCCCATTGCTTCTTCATATGTGTTTATCACTAAATTGAAAGGTAATTGTTGAATTCAATCAAAATTTATTGAGTATCTTCCAAGAGATGAAAATTATTCTCATTATTCTAGGAGCTCCATGAGGCCAGAGGGTATGCCTTATTTACATTATGTTCCCAGACCAATGTAAACATCTGTAGGAGACAAGAAAATGTCACCCCAAAATATGAAGGGTTGTTGAGTTGAAGGCAATTAAAAAGAAACAGATACAGGAAAGTTCTCTGCCCTCCCTCTATTTACCTAAAAGCAGGACACACATTTACAAAGGCAAAAGGTTTTCTGCCCCCTCCTCCTACCGCAGAGAACATAGGTCAATCACTGAAGACAACTTTAGACCTTTATCATCTAGAGATGATACTGTCAGGCTTCTGAGTCCAAGCTAAGCCATCATAGCCCCTGTGACCTGCACATACACATCCAGATGGCCAGTTCCTGCCTTAACTGATGACATTCTACCACAAAAGAAGTGAAAATGGCCAATTCCTGCCTTAACTGATGACATTATCTTGTGAAATTCCTTCTCCTGGCTCATCCTGGCTCAAAAGCTCCCCTACTGAGCACCTTGTGACCCCAGAGAACACCTGCCCACCAGAGAACGACCCCCCTTTGACTGTAATTTTCCTTTACCTACCCAAATCTTATAAAATGGCCCCACCCCTATCTCTCTTTGCTGTCTTTTCGGACTCAGCCCACCTTTACCCGGGTGAAATAAACAGCCTTGTTGCTCACACAAAGCCTGTTTGGTGGTCTCTTCACATGGATGTGCATGAAATTTGGTGCTGTGACTTGGATCGGGGGACCTCCCTTGGGAGATCAATCCCCTGTCCTCCTGCTCTTTGCTCGGTGAGAAAGATCCACCTACGACCTCGGGTCCTCAGACCGACCAGCCCTAGGAACATCTCACAAATTTCAAATCCGGTAAGCGGCCTCGTTTTACTCTCTTCTCCAACCTCCCTCACTATCCCTCAACCTCTTTCTCCTTTCAATCTTGGCGCCACACTTCAATCTCTCCCTTCTCTTAATATCGATTCCTTTCATTTTCTGGTAGAGACAAAGGAGACACATTTTATCCGTGGACCCAAAACTCTGGCGCCTGTCACGGACTCAGGGAGGCAGCCTTCCCTTGGTGTTTAACCATTGCAGGATGCCTCTGTGATTATTCACTCATGTTCCATTGGTGTCTGATTTCTGCGGGGACGCCTGCCTTGATCATTCACCCACGTTCCCTTGGTGGCAAGTCAATTGTGGGGATGCCTGCTTTGGCTGCTCACCCACGTTGGAGCCCAGGGCTTCTCCCCACCCCCTTCTCCGTGTCTCTACTCTTCTCTTTAAACTTGCCTCCTTCACTATAGGCAAACTTCCACCCTCCATTCCTCCTTCTTCTCCCTTAGCCTGTGTTCTTAAGAACTTAAAACCTCTTCAACTCTCACCTGACCTAAAATCTAAGCATCTTATTCTCTTCTGCAATGCTGCTTGACCCCAATACAAACTCAACAGTAGTTCCAAATAGCCAGAAAATGGCACTTTCAATTTTTCCATCCTACAAGATCTAAATAATTCTTGTCGTAAAATAGGCAAACGGTCTGAGGTGCCTGACGTCCAGGCATTCTTTTACACATTGGGCCCTCCCTAGTCTCTGTTCTCAATGCAACTCATCCCAAATCTTCCTTCCCTCCCACCTGTCCCCTCAGTCCCAACCCCAAGCGTCGCTGAGTCTTTCTAATCTTCCTTTTCTACAGACCCATCTGACCTCTCCCCTCCTCTCCAGGCCGAGCTAGGTCCCAATTGTTCCTCAGCCTCTGCTCCTCCACCCTATAATCCTTTTTTCACCTCCCCTCCTCACACCCGGTCTGACTTACAGTTTCGTTCTGTGACTAGCCCTCCCCAACCTGCCCAGCAATTTCCTCTTAAAAAGGTGGCTGGAGCTAAGGCATAGTCAAGGTTAATGCTCCTTTTTCTTTATCCCAAATCAGATAGCATTTAGGCTCTTTTTCATCAAATGTAAAAACCCAGCCCAGTTCATGGCTCATTTGGCAGCAACCCTGAGATGCTTTACAGCCCTAGACCCTAAAAGGTCAAAAGGCTGTCTTATTCTCAATATACATTTTATTACCCAATCTGCTCGCAACATTAAATAAAACTCCAAAAATTAAATTCCGGCCCTCAAACCCCACAACACGACTTGATTAACCTTGCCTTCAAAGTGTACAATAATAGAGTAGAGGCAGCCAATTAGCAACATATTTCTGAGTTGCAATTCCTTGCTTCCACTGTGAGACAAACCCCAGCCACATCTCCAGCACACAAGAACTTCCAAACGCCTAAACTGCAGTGGCCGGGCATTCCTTCAGGCCCACCTCCCCCAGGAGCTTGCTACAAGTGCCAGAAATCTGGCCACAAGGCCAAGGAATGCCCACAGCCTGGGATTCCTCCTAAGCCATGTCCCATCTGTGTGGGACCCCACTGGAAATTGGACTGTCCAACTCACCTGGCAGCCACTCCCAGAACCCCTGGAACTCTGGCCCAAGGCTGTCTGACTGACTCCTTCCCAGATCTTCTCAGCTTAGCGGCTGAAGACTGACACTGCCTGATCGCTTCGGAAGCCCCTAGACCATCGTGGGCACCGAGCTTCGAGTAAGTCTCACAGTGGAAAGTAAGTCCGTCCCCTTCTTAATCAATATGGAGGCTACCCACTCCACATTACCTTCTTTTCAAAGGCCTGTTTCTCTTGCTTCCATAACTGTTGTGGGTATTGACGGCCATGCTTCTAGACCTCTTAAAACTCCCCAACTCTGGTGCCAACTTAGACAGTACTTTTTTAAGCACTCCTTTTTAGTTATCCCCACCTGCCCAGTTCCCTTATTAGGCTGAGACACTTTAAATTATCTGCTTCCCTGACTATTCCTGGACTACAGCCACATCTCATTGCCGCCCTTCTTCCCAATCCAAAGCCTCCTTTGCGTCCTCCTCTTGTATCCCCTAACCTTAACCCACAAGTATAGGATACCTCTACTCCCTCCTTGGTGACTGATCATGCACCCCTTACCATCTCATTAAAACCTAATCACCCTTACCCCGCTCAACGCCAATATCCCATCCCGCAGCATGCTTTAAAAAGATTAAAGCCTGTTTATCACTCGCCTGCTACAACATGGCCTTTTAAAGCCTGTAAACTCTCCTTACAATTCCCCCATTTTACCTGTCCTAAAACCAGACAAGCCTTACAAGTTAATTCAGGATCTGCACCTTATCAACCAAATTGTTTTGACTATCCACCCCATAGTGCCAAACCCATATACTCTCCTATCCTCAATACCTCCCTCCACAATCCATTATTCTGTTCTGGATCTCAAACATGCTTTCTTTACTATTCCTTTGCACCCTTCATCCCAGCCTCTCTTTGCTTTCACTTGGACTGACCCTGACACCCATCACGCTCAGCAAATTATCTACGCTGTACTGCCACAAGTCTTCACAGACAGCCCCCATTACTTCAGTCAAGCCCAAATTTCATCCTCATCTGTTACCTATCTCGGCATAATTCTCATAAAAACACACGTGCTCTCCCTGCTGATCGTGTTTGACTAATCTCCCAAACCTCAATCCCTTCTACAAAACAACAACTCCTTTCCTTCCTAGGCATGGTTAGTGCAGTCAGAATTCTTACACGAGAGCCAAGACTGCACCTTGTAGCCTTTCTGTCCAAACAACTTGACCTTACTGTTTTAGCCTAGCCCTCATGTCTGCGTGCAGTGGCTGCTGCTGCTTTAATACTTTTAGAGGCCCTAAAAATCACAAACTATGCTCAACTCACTCTCTACAGTTCTCATAACTTCCAAAATCTATTTTCCTCTTCATACCTGATGCATATACTTTCTGCTTCCCGGCTCCTTCAGCTATGCTCACTCCTTGTTGAGTCTCCCACAATTACCATTGTTCCCAGCATGGACTTCAGTCCGGCCTCCCACATTATTCTGGATATTACACCTGACCCTCATGACTATATCTCTCTGATCCACCTGATCCCCATATTTCTTTATTTCCTGTTCCTCACCCTGATCACATTTAGTTTATTGATGGCAGTCCCACCAGGCCTAATTGCCATTCACCAGCAAAAGCAGGCTATGCTATAGTATCTTCCACATCTATCATTGAGGCTACCACTCTGCCCCCCTCCACTACCTCTCAGCAAGCCAAACTAGTTGCCTTAACTCAAGCCCTCACTCTTGCAAAAGGACTACACATCAATATTTATACTGACTCTAAATATGCCTTTCGTATTCTGCACCACCATGCTGTTATATAGGCTGAAAGAGGTTCCCTCACTGCTCAAAGGTCCTCCGTCATTAATTAATGCCTCTTTGATAAAAACTGCTCGAGGCCGCTTTACTTCCAAAGGAAGCTGGAGCCCTTTTACTGCAAAGGCCATCAGAAGGCATCAGATCCCATTGCTCTAGGCAACACTTAGGCTGATAAAGTGGCTATACAAGCAGTTAGCTTTCCAACTTCGTCCCTCATGGCCAGTTTTTCTCCTTCACATCGGTCACTCCCACCTACTAGCCCGCTGAAACTTCACCTATCAATCTCTTCCCACACAAGGCAAATAGTTCTTAGACCAAGGAAAATATCTCCTTCCAGCCTCATGGCCCATTCTATTCTGTTGTCATTTCATAACCTCTTCCTTGTAAGTTGCAAGCTGCTAGCCCATCTCTTAGAACCTCTCATTTCCTTTCCATCCTGGAAATCTATCCTCAAAGAAATCACTTCTCAGTGTTCCATCTACTATTCTACCACCCCTCAGGGATTGTTCAGGCCCCCTCCCTTTCCTACACATCAAGCTCGAGGATTTGCCCCTGCCCAAGACTGGCAAATTGACTTTACTCACATGCCCCTAGTCAGAAAACTAAAATACCTCTTAGTCTAGGTAGACACTTTCAGTGGGTAGGTAGAGGCCTTTCCCACAGGGTCTGAGAAGGCCACTGTGGTCATTTTTTCCCTTCTGTCAGACATAATTCCTCGGTTTGGCCTTCCCACCTCTGTACAGTCTGATAGGAGACCGGCCTTTATTAGTCAAATCAGCCAAGCATTTTTTCAGGCTCTTAGTATTTAGTGAAACCTTTATATCCCTTACAGTCCTCAATCTTCAGGAAAAGTAGAACAGACTAATAGTCTTTTAAAAACACACCTCACCAAGCTCAGCCACCAGCTTAAAAATGACTAGACAATACTTTTACCACTTTCCTTTCTCAGAATTCAGGACTATCCTCGGAATGCTACAGGGTACAGCCCATTTGAGCTCCTATATAGACCTCCTTTTTATTAGGCCCCAGTCTCATTCCAGACACCAGACCAACTTGGACTGTGCCCCAAAAAATTTGTCATCCCTACTATCTTCTGTCTAGTCATACTCCTATTCACCATTCTCAACTACTCATACATGCCCTGCTCTTGTTTACACTGCGCTCTTGTTTACACTGCCAGTTTACACTGTTTCTCCAAGCCATCACAGCTGATATCTCCTGGTGCTATCCCCAAACTGCCACTCTTAACTCTTAAAGTAAATAAATAATCTTTGCTGGCAGGACTATGCTGAATCTCCTTAGGCACTCTCTAATTAAATGTCCTAGGTCCTCCCAATTCTTAGACATTTAATACCTGTTTTTCTCCTTCTCTTATTCCATTTAGTTTTTCAATTCATGCAAAACCATATCCAGGCCATCACCAATAATTCTAAATGACAAATGTTTCTTCTAACAACCCCACAATATCATCCCTTACTACAAAATCTTCCTTCAGCTTAATCTCTCCCACTCTAGGTTCCCGTGCCGCCCCTAATCCCCCTGGAAGCAGCCCTGAGAAACATCGCCCATTATCTCTCCATACCACCCCCAAAAATTTTCACAATCCCAACATTTTACCACTATTTCATTTTATTTTTCTTATTAATATAAGAAGACAGGAATGTCAGGCCTCTGAGGCCAAGCTAAGCCATCATATCCCCTGTGACCTGTACATACACATCCAGATGGCCAGTTCCTGCCTTAACTGATGACATTTCACCACAAAAGAAGTGAAAATGGTCTGTTCCTGCCTTAACTGATGACATTACCTTGTGAAATTCCTTCTCCTGGCTCATCCTGGCTCAAAAGCTCCCCTACTGAGCACCTTGTGACCCCCACACCTGCCCGCCAGAGAACAACCCCTCTTTGACTGTAATTTTTCTTTACCTATCCAAATCTTATAAAATGGCCCCACCCCTATCTCCCTTCGCTGGCTCTCTTTTCGGACTCAGCCCGCCTGCACCCAGGTGAAATAAACAGCCTTGTTGCTCACACAAAGCCTGTTTGGTGGTCTCTTCACAGGGATGCCCGTGAAAGATACCAGAGGAATCTACATGAACAAGCTGTACTAATGAGCCTTTATCTGCCATTTATTTTTCTACTCACAAGTTCTCACCCCTGGAACTCAAAGTCATTTTCCTTTAGTCTCATCACTTCTCTAAAATTTGTTGTTCATTGTTAAGATGCTATATACGCTGGAATTTGAAGCCACCTCTTGGAGGACTACATATTCCCTGGTCATCTCCATGTATATGTGAAATTAGACTTCTGTTTTCCTCTTGCTGATCTGTCTTTTATTATAGGGGCCCATTCCAACTAAGGCCCTATTGTTGATGAAAGAAAATGTTATTCTGCCCTACTCACCCATAGGTATTGAAGAGTAAATGAATAAGTTAGTGAAATAAGTATTGTAAAAGGAAAAATATGGATATAAATCCAGCACCACGAAAACAAAGAAGAAAAAGGGACTCCAACTAAACGTATCAAGAAAAGCATTTTGGAGAAGGCGATATTTTCTCTAGACTTTGAAGAAAGGTGCTATGAGGTGAATTGTGTCCCCCTAAATCCATATATTGAAGTTCTAATCCCCAGTACCTCAGAATGCGACCTTATTTAGAAATAGGGCCATAGCAGATGCAATTAGTTAAGATGAAGTCATACTGAGTAGAACGAGACCCTAATCCAGAAGACTGGTGCCTGTTAAAAAAGGGGGAATTTTGGAGAATGCCACATGAAGATGGGGCAAAGGCCAAGGAATGTCAAAGATTGCCAGCAAAACACCAAAGCTAGGAGGGAGAAGCAGGAAGCAAATTCTTCCTTGCAGCCCTCAGGAAGAACCAACCCCACTGACACCTAATTTCAGGCATATAGCCTGCAGAATGGAGAGATAATAAATCTCTCTTATTGAAGCCACCAGTCTGTGGTACTTTGGTATGGGAGCCTATTAAGCTAATATGGAAGGGTAAGAATTCATCAGGAAAACATTGGGAAGCACAATACAGCTTGAACAAAGGGAAGAAAGGTGAGTGAGCCCTGGGAGCAGTCCATGCTCCTCAGGAGTGGAAAAGATGCTGCATGGGCTAGGGGCAAATATATGGCAGAAGTTAAGATGATATGAGAAGCTTTGAGCCTGATTATAAAGAGTTGTCTTGCTGAAAAGCTAGGATTTTTGTTCTAAGTAATAGGGACATTTCCCACCTTGTTAAGCTATGGAGAATATTATCAGTCATGATTCAATCATTTATTTAATCAACAAATACTGTGTAACTGCTTCATTGTTCTAGGCATTGAGGATAAAGTAGGGGGTGAGAGACAATAAACACATAAAATAAACAAATGAATTTTATATTGCAATGATTGTTGTGGAGGAAAAGAGTGAGGGTAATAACTGGGGAAGATAGAGAAATAAATATATGTCAAATAATGACATCAACTGAAGAAAAATAAACCAGGCAGGTTGAGGAGACAGAGAGTTCAACAGAGGGGAAGGGAGCAGAGCGGGATGTGTTATTTGAGGAGGGTGATCAGGGAAGTTGTCTCTTTTAAGTATCATTTGAGATCAGCAGGAATCCAGGAGCAAGCCTTGCAGTATTTCCAGGATTAGCAGTTCTGGCCCCAGGGGTGGGGGTGGTGGGAGTGGTGTTTGCCTTATGGTGTTTGAGGGAACAAGAAGGAAGTCATTGCAGCTGTCTTGCAGTGAGCAGAAGGGAGAGTTTGAGGAGATGAAAGAGTTTGCCAGGAGGTGGGAGATAACAGGATATGACAATGAGAAATAATTAGAATTACTAACTCTGGGTTCTTTTCTCTTGGGATTGCACATGAAAAGGTGAGGCCACCTCAAGATGACCACTATGAAGTCTGTCAAGAGCCAGGTGTACATTTCCCATTGTGGAAAGGCCAAGGAGTTAGTTGGACAGCTACCTTGAATGCTAGCATGCAGGTTTTAGCACACCCGAATAAATGAAAGATCTGATGACACAGCCAGCTCTTCCAGTGAACAAAAGCAATTTCAACATTGCTGGGTGTGTGGATAGTGCTTCTAAATGTAAGTGCTGGATTTTTCACCTTGGAAGAATGATGAATTATTGAAAAGCACTCAGCTTCATTCTTCTTTCCCCGTAACACATATTTTCTCATAGCATTTAATGTACAGGAGCCGGGAAACTTCACCAAATATTATGTATAGAAAATGCTCTATCATCTTAAGAGTCAAGTCAGCAAGAGAGGTGACTGAAATATTTTCATAATTGGAAAGCATGGTCAGAATTTAAATAAATCATTATAGACAGTCTCCATAAAAAGCCTTAAAGCTCCCACCTAGCTCCAAATTAATGCAAAGGGAAGAATGGCACCAAATTACACACCAAACTCAAGTTATAGTAATTACTCAGACCTCAGTCAATAACCTGGCCAATTTTACATTACAGAGAAACCATACTTTGCAAGTATCCATGCCTATCATTTTATTAACATTTACAAACAAAAATGAGTTCTAACAGCTCTCTGGAGAGGCATGAAATATTTTATTTTTCTTTATTTGGAGGCAGAGACATTTGCAAGAGTCATATTAAGTACCTTTTTTAATGATTGCACCAAAAATCAAGGCTAAAACAGAAAATCAAACTTGGTCCTGTGCTCTGGTTGAGAGGACAATAGTCATTTCCAACTTCCCAGAGGTTTGAATTCTAGCCATTGTGGGAAGACTGACAAACCTTATCTAAATTGCCATTTTTCAAAAGCTTGCTGAAAATGTGGTAGAGAAAATCATTCCCCTCCCCATCCTCACTCTTATATAAATAGAACATAGCCTCATTAGGATTTCATTTCAGATTCATTGGAAAGGACTGGGTTTTCACTTCTGAAGTTTCTGTCTAACCAGCTAGAAAGAATACCCATGGGGAATCAGAAAACATTTTTGAAAAAAAAAATAGAAACAACACTGCCTCAGTCTAGATAACATTCAATTATGCTTCTCTTTTTCTTTTTTGAAGGTATTCCCTTGAATATATTAAAAGCAAATGATTTTAAACTCACGACCACCGTCTGCTATTTAGAAGGCAGGATTCATCAGGTTGAATTAGAAAAATGGCACAACTGGAAAGGAACTTAGAGCTGATATAGTTTAACCTCATCCCTTTAAGAACCAATGCCCAAAGGGTTAAATAATTTGACCTAAGTGGCATAGTAAAAAAACATTGCCCTGAAATTAAATATGAGTTTGAGATTTTGATTTGAAGTCTTCTCTTTGAAATGAAATATTTAAGCTCTTAGGGAATGAACTAAATTTCAAAACTCTCAGTCCTGGTTTACTGCAGTTTAATGGTTTTCATGAAGTAGGATAATCATTCATCCAAAAGATCATGTATAAAATGTGTTTGGCATGTAAGTGCTTAATAAACATTAGTTATTATTGTTATGAAATAATTTTCAGCTCTTCTCAAACATTAGACATCTCTAATATGCTTGGACTTTTATGACAGAAACACCTTCCAAAGCTCAGTGCCTCAACAAGAACAATTGCTTAGCTGTGAAGCCACAGGGAAATTTAAGGACACTGGGAATGTGAGGCAACTATGCAACCCCATCATCTTTTACTGACATTAAAACAAGAGCATCTGCCATCACAGACATCTTTGCTGGCCTATTTTAGGATACCTGAGATTCTGACTAAGAGTATGTTGCCAGGAGCTTCCCTGGGGAATGAGGCAATCTCAAAGTGGCTGAACACATGCATGCTCAGTAGGAACACGGGATTGAACGCATCACATGTTTTTCTAGAGGCTTTGGTCTGTGTCTGAGCTGCAGTCAAGTACAACCTGATTTATGCAAACGCTGACAATACCACACCCTACTCTTCAAATCTCACCCAATAATGCCAGGTGTGGCATACCTGTCTGAGGAAGGAGGAAGATGAAAGAAAAGGGAGACTATTTCTGGATCTGGAATTTTTTCCACTCATTAGATTCTGCATGGTTGCCCCTTCATCTTTGTTGCATCTTCACATCATGAAGGTTGTTAAGTAATCATTTACTTAAAGTCTATTCCTGTGAGTTCACCAAGAACAAGGACCATGCCTGTTTGGTTTATTGCTATTTCTCAGTGTGTAGCATGGTGTCTGATATGTAGCAGACACCCAGGAAATCCTGTTGAACAAATGAATGCACAACTTGCATTCTTTCTGATTAGAAATGGAGTAGCCTCAGATCTTTGCACACAGGGGATGGAGGCGGGTTGGAAGAGGCAAGTGAATTAATATTTATTGGTTATCTCCTTTGTTCAGGGCATTTTCACATGTTATTTTAGGAAATCACTCCTCAAAAAGGATGGGCAAGAAAACAGGCCAGCTGTTTGTCTGACTAACAGCCGTGTGCATTTCACTTCAAGGCATTACATTTGTTTCCTGCTTGCTTTTCCTACTGTTCATCTGGGAGTGCTCAAATTTGGAGTCACTTTAGTTAAGCGCTAATTAACCAATTAGCAATTGTCAAATTTTTTCCCTTTCTTTTTAAAGAAAAGGATTCATGGATGCATTTCAATGTTACATTTCTGTCTAGGAATTGGCTTATGCATGTGGAAATGCTATATTCATAAATAAAATATAGATGTAAAATTCTATTTCCTCCTGCTCCCTAAAATCATAGACTCTGACTGAGTCCCAAAGCCCTAGTCCATCTTGTAGGTGATAGTATTTGCTCCCTTCAAAAGTTTCCCTGACCACAAGAGAAAAAATATAGGTGTGGATAAACTGTTTAAGTAAATAGATATAGATGTAATAGGTAGAGAAACAATTTCCCATTTCTGTTCTGTTTCTAGTTTATGATATGTTTAGATTGCTGATAAAATGTAGTTCAAAGACAATTGAACTAAAATAAAAGTGGCAGCAGCCATTTCTTTGTAGCACATCACGTGTTTAAGGAATTATCCCATTTGCTGGCTTTCTCTAGATAAGCCACAGTTCTGGTGACGTTACCACTTATTAGCTCTATGACACTGAACAATTTCTGTTGCCTCATTTGTAAAATACGGATAATAACTGTGACATTTAAGTTAGATAATACATATAAATTGTTCTTCACAGTGCCTGGTGCATAGCTACATACCAAATAAAAAGATCCCCTATTAGTAGTCACTCAAGAAACATTTATTGAACATTCATATACAGTAGGCATGAAGGTCAATGTTGGAGATTTGAAGTCCATTTGAAGTTACCGAAAGTTAATTTTTGTTACTTGCAACCAAAAATCGTAGCAAATATTACTGTCTTCCTTTTGACTGGGTAACATAAAACTGAGATAGTTCATGGTGTCTTTGCTGTAATCTGAAACTGAGGAGAGATGTCTTCTCTCCCCCAGGAAAAATGTAGGCCTGGAGAAGAAGCACTTGGCTTGCTGCAGAAAACATTTGAATGGTTGTAGAAGACACTTGTGGTAAGTGCAGGAAGAAAGAAAGAAGAAACAAAGAAGGAAAGAAAGAAAGAGAAAGAAAGAAAGAGAGAGAGAGAAAGGAAGGAAGGAAAGAAAAGAAGGAAGGAAGAGAGAAAGGAAGGAAGGAAGAAAGAGAAAGAAAGAAAGAAAAAGAAAGAAAGAAAGAAAGAAAGAAAGAAAGAAAGAAAGAAAGAAAGAAAGAAAGAAAAGAAAGAAAGAAAGTAAGAAAAGTTTGATTAAGGATAGTAAGTGTGTACTAGGGCCTACCCTGATATTTTTAGGCCTGGAGTCTGAAGCAGTGATTTCGTTTTTATGTCAGCTCTGACAACTTTGGGGCATAAACATGACTCTGCTTTAAAAACATACATATATACTCACACACCAGGAAAGGACTCCAGGAAATATTTCATTTAGTTCTTAATATATTTAAATTATAAAGCATAAATGAATAGTTAAATGAAAACATAATTATATAAATTACTAGCCAGTGACAGCCATTAGCAGGAATGCAGACATCACTTAATGTTTAGTCTCAATCTTACTCTGTCTATTCTATTATATGGAATGGAGGAATGCCAGAATATGAATTTTATTATTTCAAGGCGAAGGTTAGTAAGATGAAGGAAATGAGGGGTCCTTAGTAAGCTGATATAGTTTGTATATTTGTTGCTGCCCACATTTCATGTTCAGAAGGTATAAATAGGCTTCAAATTGGATCCAGCTAGGCATCAGTTCTTCAGCTCATCTTCAAAGATAGGCATGAGTCACTATGCAGTGTTATGCAGGTTATCTATCCTAAATGCAGACCTAGGGGAAATGAATAAATTCATTGAAAATGTTTTGTAGGAGGATTAAATGAGATGTATATGAGAGGCATGTTAGAAAGGTTTCTGGAAACATGGCTGCCTGAATGCAGCCTCTTTCCTCTCCTCAACAACTCCAAGGTGCTTTGCTATCTGGAATCAAGCAGCTGCTGTGATTTATTGGTTATTTAACCAATAAATATTATTTATTGGCTATTTAACCAATAATAAATAATAAATATTATTTATTGGTTAAATAACCAATAAAGTTAAAAGGGGGAAATAAAATCAAGTATACAGGTTATTCTGCTACATGCACATGAAAAATTTAAAGACAGAAACTGTCATATTTTCCTGAAAACAGAGCAAAAAGACTTCTATATTGTTCATAAGTAACCTGCACAAAATAATTAATAATGAAATTCTTATTTAAAAAGAAGACTGATAGATAAAAACCACTAGGCAAATGCAAACAAAAAGAAAATAAGAGCATCAATATTAAAATCAGTCAAAATGGAAGTTAGGGTTAAAGGTACTAAACAGGCTAGAGAAAAGCATTGTACAATGGAGGGAGTTTCCATAGGAAAGAAGAAAGAGAATAGAGACAATATTTTAATAGATAAGAAATAAAAATTTTCCAAAATTGATGAAAGACATCAAGCTACTGATTCAAGAACTGCTACAAACCCCAATCAGAATAAACAGTAAAAACAGGTACTTCATAGTGAAACTGCTTAAAAACAAAAATGAGAGGAAAGCATTAAGACAGCCAGAAGAAATAGGACTATTGTAATATAGCAGAGCAATGACAAAAGTCAGAGGATATTGGAATGATACCTTTCACAGAAGAGAATAACACAAAAAATGGGAGGGGAGGGCTAATAAAAGTTCTGCAGTTCTAAATTGCTAGGGAAATGGGAAAAGTAATCATTTTTATTATACCATAATAAGTCATTACACTGGACATAAAGGGAAAAAGCAAGTATATGCAGCTTACCAGAATCATGCATTAAAAATAAGATTAAAAACCAAAGGTAGAGAAAAGACGTATAATACAAACACTTTAAGAAAAATTAAGGCATCACCATGAGGCAATGTAAGACTGTAAGGAAAACAGTATTATTTAAGATAAAGAGACATCCTACAAGGATAAAATATTAATCTACTAAGAATACCTTACAACTTTAAATCTATATGAATCCAATGATATAATGAGAGCAGGCAACTGCCTTTTCTGATTGAGAACTTGGCTGGAAACCCCCACTAACTAGAAACTGCTGTTGGAACCAGGATCAAGGACAGGTATGGCAGTCTTATCATTGGTAGTCCCTGATCCTCTCTGCCCTTTTAATATGAGTGACCTTTGATGTCTGGGAAGTAGCTAAAGATTATTGGTGTTTTTATTTTATTTTGTTTTTAGACTATTTCTCACTAGACAGATGTCCTGCATGCTGACTCACACTAGGTAGCAAGATTTTAAATTGTATCCAGACCATCCGATTTCTGGTAAAGGATATGGCCCATGGTTATAGAGCTTACATGAAAATATCTTCCTTGCCTTCAAGCAACATTTACTTTGGGGAAGACCAACCTTTAAAAGTGACTAAAATACAAGACATGGTATGATAAATGTGGTAAGAATGGTAGAAACAAAAAATGTATAAAAGGCATAAGATGTTATATATTCTAAAGAAAGTTAGAAATAAAGGCAAAACTCAAGTATCAAAAAAACGAATTCAAAGTTGCTAACTCAAATGCAACATGAGAGTAAGTCAGAATTTTATTTTCCATTTAGTGCCAGAATCACCACAAAGATAAAATGCAGCAATAAGAATATCAGATCTCCATGGGTCCTACTAGTCAGGCATCCCATCCTCTCAATATTTGCATTTAAGTATAGTTTAGATCTACTTTTAAAATTGTGATTTAACATAAAAAGATGTAGAGGATCAAAATGTAAAAACACGAAGGCACCTATGAGAACCTTGCCTCACACAGCTTTCCATGGGAACTGGCTTGCTTGGCCGAGGAGTCTGATTTCTACATTCTCTGCTGAGCCTTCAGTAAGTGTGCATCTCTTTGGAGGGAATACAAACAGAGAGCTCTCACTGTCTTCAAAGGGCTGCCATGCTGAGTCAACTCAATAGGACAAAAAGAACAAAGTGAGACAAGCTGCAGCCTTCCAAATAGCATCCTGCAAGCCCCTCCACCTGCAAGTTGCAGGGCAGGATTCTAAAAAGAAAAAAAAAAAACAAGGGAGTTCAGAGAATTGTCTGTTTAATTTTCATCATCCCTAATGTAAACTGGGCTAAAGTGGTCATAGACCAGGCCCAGCAGATTCCAGCATCCTGTTTTTTTCATGCACTTGGACATAAGCTGAACCACAGCTCTGGGTTTAAGACTTAGCCTTATATTCCTTGCATAAATGACAGGCCAATTGAAACTCATTTATAGTGAACAGCATGTCCAAAATAGGACCAAGAGGCAAAACTAAGTTCTTTTAATGTTACTCTTTAATTCTGCATATTGCCCTTGTCTGCTTATCCAGGGAAAATAGAGATTTGGAGTAAGAATCAGAAAAGATTCTTGATGTTGTTTATTGTATATCTGTGTGTCTATAGAGAGAAGGAGAGATTAATTAATTAGCTTAGTTACACAAGCAAGATATGTTTTTAAATTATGGATTCTGGGGATTCTGGTCTCTCTCTCTCTCTCTGTGTGTGTGTGTGTATGTGTATGCACACACATACACACCCATACACACATGGAGAGGAAGATGTGTCACAATGAACACAACAAAATTTCTGACCTTTGGGAACTTAATTTCTAGGTGAAAACAGTAAGCAGATAAATTGATAATATATAATATGTTGGGAGTGATCCATGCTATAAAGAAAAAATAAAACAGAGTAATAGAGATTGAGAGTGACAGACAGTGAGGTAGTTACTATTTTTACATAAAGAGATTGTCAGAGAAGGCCCCATTGATAAAGTGAGATTTGAAGAGTTGTGAAGAAAATGAAGGAACCAACCATTAGGATATCTGTAGACACAGCAAAGGACCAGAAGTCCAGCAGAGGGCATAGTAAGTGAAAATGAGGTGAAGTATGTTTAGTGTGTGTAAGGAACAATGAAAAAGCCACCAGGGCTAGCCAGAGTGAAATGATAAAGGGAGAGACAAGAGGGAAAGAGAGAATGTCTCCGAGTGATACAGAGGAATAATCACAAGGTGCCTTGGAGTCCATGGTAAAAACGTCAGCTCTTATTCTGTGTGAGTCCATTGGTGGATTTCGAATGAGAAGTTACATGATATGATGTACATTTTAAAATGATCAACCTGGTTGGCCAACAGAAAACAGACAAAATTGGAACAAGAGCTAAAGCTGGGAGATCAAAAATGTAGAAGGCTATTGTAATAACCCAGGCAAGTGGTGATGGTAGCTTAAACTAGTGTGATAACATGTTGTGACCACTTCAGACAAACAGGATGTTCTTCCAATCAAAGTTTCATTTAGATATCGAGACTGATGTTGACACACACTCATACAAACAGGGCATAAAAAGATTTATTACTCACATATTAAGGCTTGAGGAAAAACAAGGCAAGCCTCCCAAGTTGGTCCAAAGAGGGCCAAATCTGCCCTTGAGAGAGAGCAGGGAAAGCAGACTGACTTGGAGTTTTGATGGTAGTTAGAAATTGGGGATGGATTGAGAGTTCCCACGCATGCTTTGAACTTCCTGCTACTGCCAAAGGAGGGAGTATCTAGGACTTTCTCATCAGCTTCTCTGATGTAGAGCAGAAGGCAAACAGGGAGGGGTGAGGCTTCAAAATATGAACAAATGAAGCCAGACTTTTATACAATGGTGGAGATAACAAGAGGTATCAGATTCTGGAACTACTTTTTTTAAGAAAGAGGTATAATATTTATAATTGGAATGGGATTTGGGGGGTAAGAGAGGTAGAAGGTAAGGATAATTCCCCCTTTCACTATAGCTTAGCAAATAAAAAATGTAAAATAATAAAAATGTAAAAAATTAATCAAAAAGCTACTTTATTTGTTCTTGGATTTCCCCCACTTTTAGATTGAAGATTTTATTGAAATATAAGAACCAAATCCTTTACTTCTCTTTAGTCCTCTCTAACTTCTCCAACAATTTTCCCTGGGAATAAAGACAGTGCTTTGCAAATAGGAATGTACAAAAGGGGTTTGTTGATTGAAAAGACGTGTAACAATTTAGTCACGTGTCACTTAACAGGGATACTTTTCTAAGAAATCAGTCATTAGGCAATTTCATTGTTGTACAAACATCAGAGTGTACTTACAGAAGCCTATGTGGTATAGCCTACTCTACACCTAGGCTAGATGGCATAGCCTATTGCTGCTATGCTACAAATTTGTACAGCAAGTGATATGGTTTGGATTTGCATTCCTACCCAAATCTCATGTCAAATTGTAATCTCCATTGCTGGAGGTGAGGCTTCAGGGGAGGTGACTGGATTATGGAGGACGTTTCTCATGGTTTAACACCATCCTCCTTGGTGCTGTTGTTGCAATAGTGAGTTCTTGTGAGATCTGATTGTTTAAAAGTGTGTAGGTCCTCACCCTTTCTCTCTTGCTCCTACTCCAGCCATGTAAGATATGCCTGCTTCCCCTTTATCTTCTACCATGATTGTATGGTTTCTGAGGCCTCCTCAGAAGTCAAGCAGATGCCAGCACAATGCTTCCTGTACAGCCTGCAGAACCATGAGCCAATTACACCTCTTTTATTTATAAATTACCCAGTCTCAGGTATTTCTTTATAGCAATGTGAGAACTGACTATTACAGAAAATTGGTAGCAAGGAGTGGGTCATTGTTATAAAGGTACCTACAAATGTTTAAGTGACTTTGAAATTGGGTAATGGACAGAGATTGGAAGAGTTTAGAAGTTTCAGAAAAAGACAGACAGATGATAAAAATTTGGAACTTACTAGAGACTTGTTCAATGGTTGTGACCAAAATGGTGATAGTGATATGGACAATGAAGACCAGGCTGATGAGGTCTCAGATGGAAATGAGGAAACTATTGGGAACTGGAGTAATGATCACTTTTGCTATACCTTAGCAAACAGCCTGGCTGCGTTGTGCCCCTGCTCTAGGGATATGCAGACTTTGGACTTGAGAGTGATACTTTAGGGTATCTGGCAGAAGAAATTTCTAAGGAGCAAAGGGTTCAAGATGTAGCCTTGCTGCTTCTATAAACCTATAAACCTATGCTCATATGCATGAGCAAAGAAATGATCTGAAATTGGAAGTTATATTTAAAAGGGAAGCAGAATGTAAAAAGTTTGAAAAATTTGCAGCATGGCCATGTGGTAGACAATAAAAACCAATTTTCAGGAGGAAGAATTCAAGCAGACTGCAGAAATTTGCCTAAGTCAAAAGGAGCCAAGTGCTAATAGCCAAGACGATGGGGAAAAGGCCTAGAAGGCATTTCGGGGACCTTTGCAGCAGCTGCTCCCATCACAGTCCCAGATGCCTAGGAGGGAAAAATGGTTTTATGGGCCAGGCCTAGGGACACTGCTCCTCATATCCCAGTCACTCCAGACATGGCTCACACAGGCCCAAGTACAGCTCAGGCTGCTGCTTTAGAGGGTACAAGCTGTAAACCTTGGTGGCTGCCACATGATGTTAAGTCTACAGGTACATAGAGTGTAAGAGTTGAGGCTTGGGAGCCTCTGCCTAGATTTCAGAGGATGTATGGAAAAGCCTGGGTGTCCAGAAATAATCCTGCTTCAGGGGCAGAACCTTCATGGAGAACCTCTTCTAGAACAGTGTGGAGGGGAAATGTGAGGTTGGAGCCCCCAGGCAGAGTTCCCATTGCTGCACTGCCTAGTAGAACTGTGAGAAGAGGGCCATCGTCCTCCAGACTCCAGAATGGTAGATCCACCAGCAGCAAAATGGTAGATCCACCCTGCACCTGGAACAGCCACAGGCACTCAACACTACCATGAGAGCAGCCACAGAGGCTGAACCCTACAAAGCCACAGGGCAGAGCTTCCCAAGGCCTTGGGAACTCAACTCTGACACCAGTCTACCCTGGATGTGGGAAACGGAGTCAAAGAAGATTATTTTGGAGCTTTAAGATTCAATGACTGCCCTACTGCGTTTTGGACTTGCATGAGGATTATAGTCACTTTGCTTTGGCCAATTTCTCCCTTTTGGAACAGGAATATTTACTTAGTGCTTTTATCCCCATTGTATCTTGGAAGTAACTAAATTGTTTTTTATTTTACAGGTTCATAGTAGGAAGGGACTAACCTTGTCTCAGATGAGACTTTGACATTTGGACTTTCGAGTTAATGCTGAAATGAGATAAGACTCTGGGCGACTGTTGGGAATGCATGATAGTGTTTTGAAATGTGAGAAGAACACGAGATTTGGGAGGAGAAGAGGGTAGAATGATATGGTTTGGAGACATGCTCCGATGCAAATTTCATGTCAAATTGTAATCCCCAATGTTGGAGGTAGGGGCTTGTGAGGCGGACTGGATCATAGAAGCAGTTTCTCGTGGTTTAACACCATCTGCCTTGGTGCTTTTGTTGCAATAGTGAGTTCTTATTAGATCTGGTTGTTTAAAAGTATAGCACTTCCCCCGTCTCTTGTTGCTGTTCAGGCCATGTAAGATGTGGTTGCTTCCCCTTAGCCTTCTGCCATAATTTTAAGTTTCCTGAGGCCTCCCCAGAAGCCCAGCAGATGCCAACATCAGGCTTCCTGTACAGCTTGCAGAAATGTGAGCCAATCACACCTCTTTTCTTTATAAATCACCTGGTCTCAGGCATTTCTTTATAGCAATGTGAGAACTGATTATTATAGCATGTTACTGTACTGAATACTGTAGGCAATTATAACACAATAGTAAGTATTTGCATATCTAAACATAGAAGAGGTATGGTAAAAATATAATATTATAATGTCACGGGACTACTACCATTGTATATGTATTCTGCCATTGACCTAAAGGTCATTATGTGGCATATGACTGTATATAGTACAGCACTATCTTGACTTAAAACTACATGCCACACTGCTTATAGCTCAAGCTGAACACTGACTTTAGTGAAAATTTCTGAAATGCTCTCAATTATGAAACTGGTATTTCATAGCACTATTTATTACAGATATATTTAAATATCTGGGGTATAATAATCTTTTACTTACAACTTTTATTTCAAAAGTGACCTTTTATTATTTTATAGCTAATTAAGAAGGCAGCTGTGCTATAATGAAAGTGTCCTAAAATAGAAACCTAAAATTCTGTTTCTTATTCTCATTTTTGCCATAAACTAAGTGAGTGTATGGTCCTGGGTACCTCAGTTCTCTTCTCTGAGTCTCATTAGTGAAATGAGGGAACTGGATTCACTAAATCTCAGGATTATTTTTTCGGTGAAACTCTGCAAGTACTGACAGCAAATGCAAATGTTTCAAGAACATTTGAACAATTGTGTGGATTCACACAGTTACTTCTAATAAGATCCATTACTTTTCTCTGTCTTGTCAAATACAAGGGAAAAGGTTTTAGGATTAGTTATATTCAGAGGACACATGTAGTCCCCAAGTTAGAAATTTTATGATAATTATTTTAAAGTAATTTTTTTAAAAAAATGAAACCATAAATGTCTATCGTAGAATATAGAAAAATGATAAACAGTATATAAGAATATTTAATAAAAATGAATAGAATTGGCTGTGTCCTGCAATTCCTGATTTCTTGTGATTTAGAAATAGTAAGGTAAATAGAACCTGTATGTTATTAAAATTTAACATTCAAATACTTTGTATACTTATAGTCAAGTGTGTTTTAAAAGTCAGTAAATCAGAGTTTGAAAAATAAAAGTTAATGGATGAGGCTGGAAGCCATCATCCTCAGCAAACTAACACAAGAACAGAAAACCAAACACTGCATGTTCTCACTCATAAGTGGGAGTTGAACAATGAGAACACATGGACACAGGGAAAGGAATAACACACACCAGGGCCTGTGGGTGGGGGTTGGCAAGAGGAAGGACAGCATCAGGACAAATAGCTAATGCATGTGAGGTTTAAAACCTAGATGACAGTTTGATAGGTGCAGCAAACCACCATGACACTCATATGCCTATGTAACAAACCTGCACATTCTGCACATGTATCCCAGAACGTAAAGTAATATATATATACACACACACACATATATATGTGTGCATATATATACACACACACATATATGCATAGGTATATATATATGCACACATATATATGTATATATATACGTGTATATATACATATGTATACATATATATGTATATGTGACTTTTAGGTAGTCTTACCTTTCAGCAGGTCAAAAACACACACATACACATATATATGTGGCATATATATATATATATATATATATATATATATATATGATTTTAGGTAGTTTTGCCTTTCAGCAGGTCAAAAACAAATTAATGGATGAAAAAGATTGTAATCTTTCTCCCAATGTGTGCAATGATCTCCTCAAAATGATTACTGCTATAGTTGAAAAAGAGTGTATACCAGCACAAAGTTAAAATTTGTACTGGTACAAAGTTCTACTTTTGTACAAAGCAGAAAATTACTAGTGCATACCAAAGAAAAGAACAGGAAATTCCTGTTTTTCCTGAGAGAACTTGTTCCCATATACCATTAATATTATTCCATGTAGCAGAATTTTTTTGGGTAAGTGTTCCATAATATGTGTACTAGTTACATGCAATAAAGACTTAGAACTGTACTAGAAATAAAAAATAATACAATATGAAACTATAACTCTGTCTTTGTTTTTTAGGTCCATAATGCAAATTAAGTGTGTTTTTTTTTGTTGATTTTCTGTCTGGAAGATCTGTCTAATGCGCAAAGTGGGGTGTTGAAGTCTCCAGAGAATATTTTATTGGCATCTCTCTCTTTAGCTCTAATAATATTTGCTTTATATATCTGGGTGCTTCAGTGTTGGGCCCATATACATTTAAAACTGTTATATTCTCTTGCTGAATTGACCCCTTTATTATTACACAGTGACCTTTAATGACCTTTTTGTCCCTTCTTATAGTTTTTGTATTGAAATCTACTTTGGTATAGATATGGCTATTTCAGCTCTTTTTTGGCATAAATTTTTATTTTACATTCAGCTACTCTATGTCTTTTGATTAAAGAGTTTAGTCTATTTACATTCAATGTTATTATTGATAAGTAATAACTTACTCCTGCCACTTCATTATGTGTTTTCTGGTTGTTTTGTGGTCTTCTCTTCCTGCTTTCCTTCCTGTCTTCCATTTAGTGAAGGTGATTTACTCTGGTGATATGACTTAGTTTCTTGCTTTTTATTTTGTGTGTATCCATTGTATGTTTTGTGGTTTGAGGTCACCATGGGCCTTGTAAATATTATCTTATAACTCATTATTTCAAGCTAATAACAGCTTAACAATGTTTGCATAAACAAACAAGCAAAAAGAAAACTAATAAAAATGCTACACGTAACCTTAATCCTCCCTCTTTCTAACATTTTTTTGTTTCTTTTCTGTTGTAACTTTTAAGTTCAGGGGCATATGTGCAGGTTTGTTATATAGGTAAACTCTTGTCATGGAGGTTTGTTGTACAGATTATTTAGTCACCTAGGTATTAAGCCTAGTACAAATTAGTCATTTTTCTTAATTCTATCCTCTCTGCCACCCTCCACCCTCCAGCAGGCCCCAGTGTCTGTCATTCCCCTCTATGTGTCCATGTGTTCTCATCATGTATCTCCTACTTATAAGTGAGAACATGCAGTATTTGGTTTTCTGTTCCTGTATTAGTTTGCTAAGGTTAATGGTCTCCAGCTCCATCTATGTTTCTGCAAAGGACATGATCTTGTTCTTCTTTATGGAGGCATAGCATTCCATGGTGTATATATACCACATTTTCTTTATCCAATCTACTTCTGATGGGCATTTACATTGATTCCATGTCTTTGCTATTGTGAATAGTGCTGCAATGAACATATTTGTACATGTGTCTTTGTGATAGAATACTTTATATTCTTGTGGGTATTATTCCAGTAATGGGATTGCTGGGTTGAATGACATTTCTTTTTTTAGGTCTTCGAGGAATCACCACACTACTTTCTACAACCTCACCAGCACCTGTTATTTTTTGACTTTTTAATAATAGCCATCCTGACTGGTGTGAGAGGGTATCTCATTGTAGTTCTGATTTGCCAGGTCCATTTGATCCAATGTTGAGTTCAGGTCCTTAATATCTTTGTTACTTTTCTGTATTAATAATCTGTCTAATACTGTCAGTGGAGTGTTGAATTCTCCCATTATTATTGTGTGGGAGTCTAAGTCTCTTGGAAGGTCTCTAAGAACTTGCTTTATGAATCTTGGTGCTCCTGTGTTGGGTGCAATATATATTTATAATAGTTAGGTCTTCTTGTTGAATTGAACCCTTTACCAATATGTAATGCTCTTCTTTGTCTTTTTAAAAATCTCTGTTGATTTAAAGCCTGTCTTTCCTAAAATTAGGATTGCATCCCCTGCCTTTTTCTGTTTTCCATTTTCTTGGTAGACTGTCCTCCATTCCTTTATTTTGAAGCTATGAATGTCATTGCATGGGAGATTGTTCTCTTGAAGACAGCATGCCAAGGGTCTTGGTTCTTTATCCAGCTTGCCACTCTGTGCCATTTAATTGGGGGCATTTAGCCCATTTACATCCAAGGATAGTATTGATATGTGTAGATTTCATCCTGTCATCATGATGTTAGCTGGTTGTTATGGAGACTTGTTTGTGTGGTTGCTTTATAGTGTCACTAGTCAGTGTAGTTTAGTATGTTTTTGTAGTGGCTAATAATCTTTCCTTTCCATGTTTAGTGCTTCTTTCAGGAGCTCTTGTAAGGCAGGTCTGGTGATGATGAACTCCCTCAGCATTTGCTTGTCTGGAAAGGATATTATTTCTTTTTCACTTATGTAGCTTAGTTTGGCCAGATACGAAATTCTGTGTTGGGATTTCTTTTCTTTAAGAATGTTGAATATTGGCTCCCAATCTCTTCTGGCTTGTGGGGTTTCTGCTGAGAGGTCTGCTGTTAGTCTGATGGACTTCCCTTTGTAGGCAACCTGACCTCTCTGTCTTCCTATCTTTAATTTTTTTTTCATTTTGACTTTGGAGAATGTGATAATTATGTGCATAATAATCCCATAATTCTTGAAGGTTTTGTTTACTCCTCTCTATTCTTTTTTCTCTACTCTTGTTTGACTGTCTTATTTTAGAAATCCAGTGTGTAAAGTTTGAGATTGTTTCCTCAGCTTGGTCTATTCTGCTATTAATATTTGTGATTGCATTATGAAATTGATGTAGTGTATTTTTCAGCACTATCAGGTCTTTTTAACTTTTGTTGTTTCTATTTATATCTTATTGTACTGTCTATGTCTTGAAAAGTTGTAATTATATATTATTTTTGATTGTTTTATTGTCTATTATTTTTAATTAGAGTAAGGATAGTTTACACACCACAGTTACAGTGTTATAATAGTCTATGTTTCTCTATGTACTTACTATTACCAGTGAGTTTTTTTTACCTTCAGATGATTTCTCATTGCTCATTAATGTCCTTTTCTTTCTGATTGAAGTGCTCCCTTCAGCATTTCTTGTAGGACAGGTCTGGTGTTGCTGAAGTCTATCAGTTTTTGTTTGTCTGGGAAAGTTTTTATTTTTCATTTAAGCTTGAAGAATATTTTTCCTGGATATACTATTCTAAGGTTAAAGTTTTTTTTTTCTTTTACCTTAGTATGTCATGCCATTCTTTCCTGGCCTGTAAGGTTTGCACTGAAAAGCTTGCTCCATTGTATGTTATTTATTTCTTTTTTTCTTTCTGTGAGTTCTTGGCTCACTGCAATCTCCGCCTCTCCAGTTCAAACAATTCTCCTGCCTCAGCCTCCTGAGCAGCTGGGATTACAGGTGCCTGCCACCACACCTGGCTAATCTGTTTGTATTTTTAGTAGAGGTGGGGTTTCACCATGTTGGCCAGTCTGGTCTCGAACTCCTGACCTCAGGATCTGCCTGCCTCGGCCTCCTAAAGTGCTGGTATTACAGGTGTGAGCCACTGCACTTGGCTGTATGTTATTTCTTTACTTTTGCTGCTTTTAGCATCCTTTCTTTATCCTTGACCTTTGGGAGTTTGACTATTATGCCTTGATGTAGTCTTATTTGGGTTAAATCTGCTTGGTGTTCTATTACCTTCTTGTACTTGGATATTTATATCTTTGACTAGCTTTGGAAAGTTCTCTTCCCTTTGAATTGTTATTATCCCTTTGCATAAACTTTCTACCCTGTCTGTTTCTTTACTTCTTTAAGGTAAGTAACTCTTAGAGTTCCCCATTTGAAGCTATTTTATAGATCCTGTAGGCATCATTGTTTTCTATTCTTTTTTTTTTCTTTTGTCTCCTCCAACTGTGTATTTCAAATAGCCTATCTTCAAGCTGACTAATTCTTTCTTCTCCTTGCTTGATTCTGCTATTAAAAGACTCTGATGCATTCTTCAGTATGCCAATTGAATTTTTCAGCTCCAGAATTTCTGCTTGATTCTTTTTTATTATTTAAATCTCTTTGTTAAATTTATCCAGAATTCTCTGGATTATCAGACAGAGACTCTTGTCCTCTTTTCTTCCTTTTTTCAAAATATATAGTCTCCCTCTCTGTCCTGAGCCACTTAAAACTAGGGATGGAGTGATGAAGGCACCCCTGTGGCCACCAGCACTATGACTGTATTTGTCATATTCATCAGAGCTAAAGCCAGCACAGTACTGAGTCTCACCCAAGGGCTGCGGTAACAACTCCCTGACTACCATCTATGTTCCATCAGGGACCTGGTGCTCTACAATTAGCAAATGGCAAAGCCAGCCAGGTCTGTGTCCTTCTTTTCAGGGCAGTGAGGACCCCAAGGTCTTGAGTGGGTCCAGAAGTGCCATCCAGAAGTCAGGGACTAGAGTCAAAAACCTTAGATGTCTACTTGGTTTTCTATTGTATTGCAGCTGAGCTGGCACTCAACCCACAATATGCAGTCCTTCCTACTCTTCCCTCCCCTTTCCAAAGGCTGAGGAACCTCACTCCATAGCTACTGCCACCACAGGCTTACAGAGAGTACTGTCAGATGACCACTGATGTTTCCTTAAGGACCAAGGGCTCTTCCATTCCCTTTGATACAGGAATTAAGAAGTAATCACTTAGGCAGATAGTAAGGGCATGGTAATCTTGGTAAGGCTTTACTTTTTAATAAAAAGCAGCTCCAAACCATTTTCTAACAAAAGCAGCCTGTAAAGTCAAGTTGCAGACATAGACAAGCAAGCTAGGAGCTTGCACAGGTGAATGCCGGCAGGAACTAGGGACTAGACATGTTCAAGATGGCGGCTCCATCTTCCCTTCCCTGCCAGCCATATGTACAGTAAGGAGCAGATAAAAATGGCACTGGCCAAAGAAAGTTTATTTGCACAATAAGATTAGGAGGGGCAACTAGCCTTCCCTGCACACTAGGTAAATGTCATACCTGATTGAACCAATCTGCGAGCCCTATGTAAATCAGACACTGCCTTCTCAAGCTGAACTATAAAATCCAGCATATCCACCACCAGCTGGTCTTTTTCACTCAGGGGACACCTCTCTCTCTACAGAGAGAGCTATTTTTCTTTCTCTTTTCTTCTGCCTATTAAACTTATGCTCCTAAACTCATCATGTGGGTCTGTGTCCTAACTTTTCCTGGAATGAGATGATGAAACCCAGATATATACCCCAGACAACATAGCTGCTTCATATTGGGGACCTCATCCAAGATACCAAGGTACAACATTCATTGAAATGGTGAGTAGAGGAGCAGACTCAAACTCTGTCCTTTCATTTCAGGGCTCTCACCTCCATTTTAGAATGACATAAAATCAGTAACAGGCATTCATCAGCCAGTTAAAAACAGCATGGCTCCAGTTTTTGAAGACTCAGATGTGAGGCTCACTGGGGAGAACATGGAGAATCCCACAGCACCTACAGGTTGTTGGACATATTGGCCATATTTTAAGCTTCCTTTCACAGAGGACTTAGCTGTCACATGGGGCTGGAAGAGGTTTTGGAGCAACTGAGGATTTCTGGCTGGGGATACCCCCCAATGTTATCTGAAGGCTTCTGGACTGACTCCAGCCTCCAACTGCCCAATGGGGTGTTGGCAACAAGATCTCCAAATTTTCTATCATAATTTCCTCCTTTTCTTTTCATGACCACCATATCTCCTGCCCTCTCTGTGTATGCAATGTACAGGAAGTTTTACAGTTAAGTGAAGTAATCTTGTTTAGCAAGATCAGGAAATGTTATAGTAACCAGGAATATAGCTCAAGGGAAGGCGTCTTTGTGATTTTCTAGGAACACAGGGTCCCCAGCCCACAGTGAGCGTCACTCTCTGCCCTTGGTCTGGAGAGCATATGACATTTCCAGATCTCTCTCTGTCTTTGGTCTAGAGAGTACATGGCACTTCCAGGTCACTCTCTGCCCTTGGTTTGGAGAGAACATGGCATTTCCAGGTTTCTCTGCCCTTGGTCTGGAGAGCATATGACATTTCAAGGTCAACAGCACCACCCAGGGGATCCTCTCCATGTGGTGCATTGTTGGTCCTCTACCGAAACACTCTAGCTCCCCAATTCTCTCCCCTTTTTGTGCCTCTGTACTTGAAACCAGGCTTCATGCTGCTTCTGTAAATGGGAAAATTCTACCTTCAACAACTAGGAGTAAAATATCCTCAGAAGTGAAATTTTAGTATCAATACTGTCTTATCAGCAGGAAAATGGCCATTTGGTCCCTCCATTCTTTAAGGGCACCTATTCTGCTTCCAATTAGAATGGTACTTAATTAGTGAGTGGATTTTAAGTTCAGAAGTTAACTGGACCCATTCTCTAAGGGTAAAAGTTTTCGCATGGGCCATAATAGCAAGATATAGAGCTCAAACCAGCACTCTTTCTCCATTAAGGAGGGAAGTAGAAAAGTTGCCCAAATGCAACTGTCACATAGTCTCTCCTGAGATCCATTTTTTGGGGAGCCAGGCAGGTCACACAAGTCTAGGAAGTCAAAGGGCAATCACAGGCAGAGGACTATAGTCATGTGGGTGAGTGTGACTAATTCCAATCGCTTAGTTCTTCTGGTTCCATGTCTGGGGGTCAAGCCTGAAACCATGGGTGGCATGTTCAACAAGGTGCCAGGACCCAGGAACCATGGAGTGAATACAGCAGAGGGGACACCACCACTGTCTTCCCCTCCACTTTGTGTCACATCAAAAGGAAGGAGACTAAATAGACACTTTTTTCTCACATCTCTTTCTAAATGGGTAACACACTATCTTCAGCTTGCACACCTCTGGAGTGCATTCTGTAGCACAAGGACTCTTTGACCCTGAAACTTTAACGAAAAAGGGGCTCATTTGCTTTTGCACAAGAACTTGACCTTCTTACTAGACCATCGCAAGTGTTGCACAATCAACCCAGCTCTTTTAGCAGTCATGTCAGGCAGGCCTATAGAGAATGATTCTCCCAAGTTAGAGAAGCAACTTCCAGGGGAACAATCTGTGAATCCCCCTTATTCAGTTCCCTAACTCCTCTAGTCTACTAATTACTGCAGGACCGTAGGCAAGTCAAGAGATTAGGTCGGTTTTCTGACGACCCTGAGAGATATATAGAAGACTTCCAAAATTTAACTCAGGTATTTGACCTCTCATGGAGAGATGTTATACTGCTCCTAAGCCAAACTCTAATTGCAGCTGAGAAGCAGGCAGCTCTGCAGGCAGCAGAGAGATTCAAAAATGTGTAATATGTCTCCTATAGTAGGCCTGAAAGGAAAAGGGGAAATAGGGAAGGCCGAGAAATAATGGAAACACCATTCCCAATAGGAAGGGAAGCAGTTTCTCTTGAAAACCCTAATTGGAACCCCAATGATGCTACAGATGAATGGAAAAAGAAACATTTTTAAATGTGCATATTGGAGGGCCTACTAAGAACTAGGGCCAAACATCTTAATTGCTCTAAACTGTCCATGATAGACCAAAAGCTGGATGAGAGTCCCGCAGCTTTTATGGAAAGACTTAGAGAGGCTAATAAAGCACACTTACCTATCCCCTGAATCAATGGAGGGACAGCTCATCCTAAAGGACAAGTTTATTATACAGGGAGCTCCTGATATTAGAAGGAAACTACAGAAGCAGGCTATAGGACCAGATAGCACCTTAGAGAACCTCCTGAAGGTGGCCACTTCAGTCTTTTATAATAGGGACAAGGAGGAGGACCAGGAGAAAGAGAGGAAGCAAAAGAGAAGGACAGAGTCTCTAGTAGCTGCTTCGCACACTTGCAAAATCCAGGATCCCTGAGGTGCATCCACTAGTTGCTATTGGTGCGGCATGTCAGGGTACTTTAAGAAGGAGTGCCCAGGCAGCAAGAAGAAATCACCATGACCCTGTCCAGCATGTGGCAGGGGACCACTGGAAATTGGGCTGCCCCCAGAAACAAAGGTCAGCAGGTTCAGAATCAGTCTTTCAGATAGTACAACTGGACTGATGCATCCCGGGGCTCAGACCCACAGCTCCAGTGACTCATACTGCCATTACAGCACAGGAGCTCTTTGTGATTCTGGAAATTGAAGTAAGGAAGGTGGATCTCCTTCTGGACACTGGAGTCAGCCTCTCTCTGCTCCTCTCTAATACAGGTCTTCCCTATTCCTATAGCACAACCATGAGGGGAGTCTCAGGAAAGACTTACATTTGATATACTTTTTTCAACCCATTAGTTGCAGATGGGGAAACCTACTATTTACACATGCCTTTTTAATCATGCTAGAAAACCTTATTAGGTTTTTATTTTTACCTTTATTAGGTAGAGACATTTTAGCTTACATGGGGGCCAATATCTTTATAGCCCCAGGACAATCTTTTTGTCTCCCCCTCGTGGAAGCTAATATCAATCCAGAAGTGTGGGCAACTCAAGGAAGAATAGGTTCAGCTGTAACTGTTAGGCCAATCCAAATTCATCTTAAAGACCCCACTTTTTTTCCTAACCAGAAACAATATCCTCTAGAGCCAGAGGCTAAGAGACAGCTAGAAGCCATTATTAATAACCTAAAGATACAGGGCCTCTGCAAACCCTGCAACAGCCCCTGCAACACCCCAATATTAGGAGACTGCAAAAACCCAATGAGGAATGGAGACTAGTTCAGGACCTCCATCTCATTAATAAAGCTGTAGTCCCAATCCACCCAATAGTACTTAATCCCTATACCTTGCTGACCCAAATACTTGAGGGAACTAAATGGTTTATAGTCCTAGATTTAAAGGATGACTCAAGGATTTTGAGATAGCCCTGATTTGTTTGGACAGGCATTGTCAAAAGACCTCTCTGAGTTTTCCCATGTTCAGGCCAAAGTTTTGCAATACATGGACAATAATTTTTAGGCTATGGATACCTGGGTATGGTGAGATAGCTCATCCCTGGTATCATCACATAAGAGAAACTCAAGTGGCTAAAACTTATCTCCTAACCTGGGAACCTGAAGCTCAAAAGGCCTTTATCCAGCTAACGCAGGCCCTACTTAAGGAACCAGCTCTCTGCCTTCCTGTAGGAAGGGCCTTCAATCTTTATGTATCAGAAAGGAAGGGAATGGCTCTGGAGTCTTAACACAGGCCCAAGGACCAGTTCAATAGCCAGTGGGTTACTTGAGTAAGGAACTTGATTTGGTGGTTAAAGAAAGGCTAGCATGTCTCCAAACTATTGCCACAGTGGTCCTACTGGTCCCAGAAACATCCAAATTAACCCTGAGAAATGACTTAACTGTTTATACCCCATGTAATGTGGTGGGATTACTGTCCTCTAAGGGAAGCCTTTGGTTAACACACAGCAGCCTCCTTAAATATCAAGTTCTACTGTTAGAGAGTTCTACAATCCAGTTAAAAACTTGCTCTCACTTAAATCCAGCTACTTTCCTACCTGAGGGAGCTGGGGAACTTGAACATGACCGTGAACAAGTTGTGGTACAGACCTATGTGGCCAGGGAAGATCTCAAGGAAACTAACCTGGAAAATCCAGATTGGACCCTCTTCACAGATGGAAGCTCCTTTGTAGACTAAGGAGTCTGTAAGGCAGGATATGCAGTAGTCACTCTGAATAATGTTATTGAAAGTGTATCTCTCTTTCCAGGCACAAGCGCCCAACTAGCCCAGTTGATAGCTCTTACAAGAGCACTTGAATTAAGCAAGGGAAAAGTGGCTAACATTTACACTGACTCCAAGTGTGCTTTCCTAGTTCTCCATGCTCATGCTACCATTTGGAAGGAAAGGCATTTTCTTACTACCCACCACCAATGGATCTCCTATAAAATACCATCAGGAAATTAACAGGTTATTATCCCTAGTTTTTCTTCCATGAGAAGTAGCAGTGATGCATTGTAAGGGACATCAGAAGGGAGTAGATTAAATAGCCAAAGGAAACAAGTTAGGTGGTCAGGCAGCCAAATCAGCAACAAGGAAGCCTCACGACATCAACACACTTGAAGCTCCTCTAATGTGGGAAGGCTCCACAAGAGAAATCAAGCCTCAGTACTCCCCTGCAGAAATAGAATGGGCCTCTTCTCGAGGGTACACCTTCCAGCCCTCTGGATGACTGTAGTCAGAGGATGGCAAGCTCCCCTTGCCAGCCTCTAGCCAGTGGAAAGTACTTAAATTCCTTCACCAAGCTTTTCACTTGGGAAAGGATAAAACTTAACAATGTGCCCAGAGATTGTTTTCAGGAAAGAACTTACTAAGCACAGCAAAACAGTTTGTTATGCTTGTGAAGTCTGTCTTAAAAATAATCTCCTGAGAAGATGGCTCCTTCCTCCTCAAACCCAAAGGATGGGAAGCTATCCAGGGAAGGACTGGCAGATAGACTTCATTCACATGCCAAAGACAAAGGGCATCCAATACCTCCTGGTATGGGTAGATACTTCCACTAACTGGGTGGAAGCATTTCTATGCCATATAGAAAAGGCCTCTGAGGTAGTAAAGGTGTGTTAGTTAATGAAATCATTCCCCGTTTTGGTCTTCTTAAGTACCTCCAAAGTGACAACTACCCCTCATTTAAGGCAGCTATTTTTCAGGGGGTCTCAAAGGCACTAGGCATACGGTATCATCTCTATTGTGCTTGGAGACCCCAGTCCTCAGGAAAAGAGGAGAAGACAAATGATATCATCAAAAGACACCTCAGAAAACTGTCCCAAGAAACTCACCTTCCTTGGGTTATCCTTCTTTCCATGGCTTTACAGTGAGTAATAAACACCCCTTCAAAGTTAGGTCTAAGCCCTTCTGAGATACTGTATGGATGGCCTTTCCTCACTGATGATTTCTTATTAGACCAAGAAATCTAATAAGAAAGAGATTCTTGCAACTCTGACCAGTGCCCTATCCTGCTGTGGCTAAGCTGATATACAAGGTGCAAGACAAAGTCCTCTCCACTCTTCTCTCTTCAAGCGGGAAGAAGTGGTCTCTTCTGGAGCCATGAGCTGTTTTCCTGGGGTTAGAGGAGGGGTGATGTCAGCACTCCTTTAGCTATCCCAGCTTGTATCTCACTAGGTCATATGTCAGCCCAGTTCAGCACTAGGACTTGCCTAGAAAATGCAGTCCATGTGGCCTAGAATGTCTTTCAAGTTTATTTAGGGCCCCAACTCACTTTAGCCTGTGGTGATGAGGCTTGCAGGAACTCAAGTTCCAACTGCTGGAATTAATGATTCTCCTCTGGCTAGGGCTGGCTTAAAGACTCCCTCTGTGGATGGGCATTAGCTGAGTTTGGTCCAATTTTGCTTTCTGCTATAACAGAGCAGCACTGAGTTCAATGCATTACAATTTCTGCACTCTCCCTCTCCTCAGCACACAGAAGCTCTCTCTACACCATGTTGTAGCCACCAGGGGCTGGAGATCAATGGCTTCAGTGATTCAAGAATGTTTTTTCTATCTTAGTGCCTCTTTCAGCAATATGAAGTTAAAACCAGGTAATGTGAATGCTCACCTTATTTTTGGTTCTTTTGAAGGTACTTTTGGTGCGTGTACATATTTGTTAAATTGGTCTTGTGGGGCAGGGGGGAATGATTGGCAAAGCCTTCCATTCTGCCATCTTTTTCTGCCCCTCCTATCTAACCCTTTTTTTTTTTTTGACAAGTAAGGAAGGACCTTTAGAATTGATGTAATCTGGTTGAGAAAAAAGGTATATCTCACAGACAGTACAATCCAATCTGTATTAGTCTGCTCATACACTGCTAATGAAGACATTCCTGAGACTGGCTAATTTATAAAAGAAAGAGGTTTAATTGACTCACAATTCAGCATGGCTGGAGAGGCTTCAGGAAACTTACAGTCATGATGGAAGAGGAAGCAAACACGTCCTTCTTCACATGGTGGCAGCAAGAAGAAGTGCAGAATGAAGACGGGGAAAGTCCTTTATAAAACCATCAGATCTCATGAGAACTCACTCAATCTCACCAGAACAGAAAGGAGGTAAATGTCCCCATGATTCAATTACCTCCCACCGGGTCCCTCCCATGACATATGAGGATTACAGGAACTAAAATTCAAGATGAGATTTGGACACAAAGCCAAACTACATCATTCTGCCCCTGGCCCCTCCCAAATCTCATGTCCTCACATTTCCAAACACAACATGCCTTCCCAACAGTTCCCCAAAGTCTTAACTCATTCTAGCATTAACTCAAAAGTCCATAGCTCAAAGTCTCATCAGAGACAAGTCAACTCCCTTCTGCATGAACCTGCAAAATCAAAAGCAAGTTAGTTACTTCCTAGACACAATGCAGGTACAGGCCTTGGGCAAATACAACCTTTCCAAAAGGGAGAAATTGGCCAAAACAAAGGGGCCACAGGCCCCATGCAAGTCCAGTATTCAATAGGGCAGTAATTCAACCCTGAAGTTCCAAATGTGCCCATCCCAGGCACATTTATATAAGAAATGGGCTCCCATGGCCTTGGGCAGCTCCACCCTTGTGGCTTGGCAGGGTACAGCCCCCTCCTGGCTGTTTTCACAGGCTGGCATTGAGTGTCTATGGCTTTTCCAGGTGCACAGTGCAACGTGTTTGTGGATCTACCATTCTGGGGTCTGGAGGACAATGGTCCTTTTCTCACAGCTCCACTAGGCAGTGTCCCAGTAGGGACTCTGTATGGGGGTTCCAACCTCACATTTCCCTTCTGCACTGCCCTAGCAGAGGTTCTCCATGAGGGATCTGCCCCTGCAGCAAACTTCTGC
Source organism: Homo sapiens (assembly GCF_000001405.40). NCBI lineage: Eukaryota > Metazoa > Chordata > Mammalia > Primates > Hominidae > Homo > Homo sapiens. The sequence goes on from NC_000012.12 coordinate 44,483,570, forward strand.
CTGGACATTCAGGCATTTCCATATATTGTCTGAAATCTAGGCAAAGGTTCCCTGACCTCAATTCTTGTCTTCTGTGTATCCACAGGACCAACATCACATGAAAGCTGCCAAGGCTTGAAGCTTGCACCCTCTGAAGCAATAGTCTGAGCTGTACCTTGGCTCACTTTAGTCATGGCTGGAGCAGTTGAGATGCAGTTCTGAGGCTGCACACAGCAGGGGGGCCCTGGACCTGGCCCAGAAAACCATTTTTCCCTCCTAGGCCTCTGGGCCTGTGAGAGGGGCTGGCCAGAATGTCCCTGACATGCCCCGAAGACATTTTCCCCAATGTCTTGGTGATTAACATTTGATTCCTCATTACTTATGCAAATTTCTGCAGCTGGCTTGAATTTCTCCCCAGAAAATGACTTTTTCTTTTGTACCACATCATCAGTTTGGAAATCTTCCAAACTTTTATGCTCTGCTTCTTCTTGAATGCTTTGCCACTTAGAAATTTCTTCCACCAGATACCCTAAATCATCTCTCTCAAGTTCAAGAAGTTCCACAGATTTCAAGGGCAGAGGCAAAATGCCACCAATCTCTTTGCTAAAGTATAGCAAGAGTCACCTTTACTTCACTTTCCAAGAAGTTGCTTATCTTCATCTGAGACCACCTCAGCCTGGAATTCATTGTTCATATCACTATCAGCATTTTGGTTAAAGTCATTCAACAAGTCTCCAGGAAGTTCCAAACATTCCCACAGCTTCCTGTCTTTTGAGTTCTCCAAGTCTCTAGGAAGTTCTAAATTTTCCCACATTTTTTTCTGTCTTCTTCTGAGCCCTCCAAACTGTTCCAGCCTCTGCCTGTTACCCAATTCCAAAGTCAATTTCACGTTTTTGGTATCTTTATAGCAGCGCCCCACTACCCAGTACCAATTTACTGTATTAGTTCATTCTCACACTACTAATAATGACATACCTGAGACTGGGTAATTTATAAAAGAAAGAGGTTTAATTGACTCATAGTTCAGCATGGCTGGGGAGGCCTCAGGAGACTTACAATCATGGCAGAAGGGGAAGCAAACACATCCTTCTTCACACGGCTACAGCAAGGAGAAGTGCAGAGTGAAGGTGGGGAAGCTCCTTATAAAACCATCAGATCTTGTGAGAACCCACTCACTATCACGAGAACAACATGGAGGTAACTGTCCCTATGATTCATTTACCTCCCACTGGGTCCCTCCCATGACACAAAATTATGGGAACTAAATTTCAGGATGAGATTTGGGTGGGAGCACAAAGCTAAACCATATCACAGTTCAACTAAGATTACTCTCTTAAATGACTCCAGTGGCTATTTGCTATATTGGATGAATCCCAACCTTCATTTTTCTCCATGCTTGCTCAATTAAGTGTTCACTTTGATAATTCCATTTTATAGTTCAGTTCAAGTTATATCATGCTTTGCAATCTAGTTGATAGTTTGTGGACCTATCCATGGTACCACACATGTTTTTGAAAGGGAAGGCAGTGACTGTTCTTCTTTGTATGCCTAGAGCCTTGCACGGTGCTTAATACATGAGAGGCTTTCCATATATGTTTGCTGTATTAAATAAATGAGTTTCTATACAAAGTTCAAGCAGTTATTGAAGAATAAATAATCAAAATACAATTTTGTCTTTTGCTCTAATGTGAGCTAAATGATTTAGATTTGGTGATTTAGAAACAGTATTTGAGTTGTGGGAGAGCAATTTCAATATACACTAGAATAGAAGATATTTCCATATAAGAGACAAGGTTGGGAAATTTATCAGTAAATTTGAGACAGAGTTAAGATGGCACCTGTCTCATGGAAATAGGCAAAAATCAAAAAGGGCTGAAAGCCATGCTAGAAACAGGTGATAATGTATAAGGTCTTTTTGGATACTAGAAGGGAGTTTTTATAGGATTGTAGCTATTCTTAGGAAAAGAATGTTCATGCTGTTTATATATTACTGTTTAATGTTATATACTTTAGAACCACTGGCAATTTAAAAAAATTCTCACATAGCTCAGTTATGCTGAAGTTTAATAATGTTAAGATTTTTCTCATTATTGGATCAGTTTTAAAGAGTGAATAGTGGCAATAATAATGAAAGTGAGAGAATCCTGCAGAGAGGTACCAGCCATGAGTTCGACAAAATACTGTTTGAATATTGTCTCCACAGAGCTTCCATCTTTTCAAACATTAGGAATTTCCTGTTTGATTACAAAGATCAGCAAGTGATACAAATGAATAAAATAAAATTTCCCTCAGCAGAGTTTATCTTAACTTATATAAATAACTCCTCATAGCTCTTACACCTTGATGTCTACCACCAGTCATCAACTATTTCAAAATTTCTGGGACCAATCTTGACTGTAGGAAGGGACATGTACATAATATCAGCCCAGTGCCTTGGGGCTCAACTTTAAGCCACCTTATGATTACTTGTCTTTACATGTGGCTGATAATTTTGATAACTTAGATTTTGCTTCTATTACTAAGACATAGCATTCATCTCAGCACCCAGTTTTGCAAGGGGTTAGAAAATCAAGGAAGTGCAAGGCTAGGCTCTGCATTCTAAGGGGAAATAGCAGAGTTGTTTCTAGGGCATAATTTGAGGGTCTAGTTGTAGACAAGTATTAGCTCAGAACAACATGTGAGAGCACAACATGGGGTCAACATAGTGGCCTACCCAGTCAACAAAGCATAAAGGTGAGAATCATAGTATTCATAAATGTAGGGGTTGGTTGGCAAAGTTTCAGACCATTTAGATCCTATCCTTGTTTCTAGACCTTGGAAACTTTTTAAAAAATGTCTTAATATCCCATTCTACCCCTGAGGCAGCACATAGCTGTGGAAGCCTTAACTTACTAAGAAGTGATAACTTCTTTAGATTATCCTAGGTTAATTCATCATTCAAAACATTTTTAATGTTTATTAAATGTGTTATATAATAATAACTGATTGTCAGGCATTGTCCTGGGTTTTGTAATAGTAGCATTGAAGAGAAAAATGAAAACAAGCAAAAGCATCTATGCTCATGAAATTTACCGTCTGGTAGATCCCGTCTCTCAACAAACACATGCTTCCAGCCCTACCAGGAGGGCTTTGTGGTCCTAGCCTGAGGATGTCTCCACCTGGAGAAGCAGTGATTAAACACTTTCTGTGATCCTTGTCTTTTGATGTGTGTGTGGTAGGGGGCAAGGGATGAGGTAGTATAGCAGTGGGCAAGCATACTTGCTGTCCAAGCATCAATCAAGGAAATTCCAGGGTATCTTGATACAGTTACTGACTTTTTCTCACAAACACATTCCTATATGATGAGGAAAGAATAGGTTTCAAGAGGTACAAATGATGGTACCGCTCTAGAGCCCACTGCTGTATCACGTTATCATTGGTGTCACATTCCTTATTAGTTACAGTTCAGTTCAATAAGCAGAAACCACTCTATTTTAAGCAGGAACTGACATGATATTGGGAATTAGGTGCTTACAAAATAGTTGGAAGTTATTTTAAAAGTTTATTTCCTCTCTGAACCTCCAGGAACAATTCTAGAACAATAGGTAATAACTGTAATTATGCCAGAAAAAAAGGACTACTGCTACTTCTAAAACAGCCACTGTTTAGCACACAGAAAACTGGATCATGCACACTAAAACATTACTTGAGAAAATCCATGACCATAACCATGCTAAAGCAGACATAGCCCAAAAGAGGGCAAAAAGATGGCTTCCACCCTGTTTTGTCTTCCATGTTTCCCACAAGTGCATCTAGTTAACAGAATTAATTTGCAGACAGAACCCTAGCTGCAAGGGAGTCTAAGAAGGCAGAAAAGAGGTTAAATTAGCCAGTTCCTGATATCTAGCATACATTCTAACTTTCAAAGTGAACATTTTAACCTCCAAGGTGAATTGGTGAAAGTGCAGACCCTTGGTCCCTCACAACACTTAATGAATCTGATTCTGGGATATGAGAACCAGCATGTTAACAATCACCTCCTCACCCTAACTAATTCTCATGCCTGGGAACATTTAGAAAACATTGCTTAAGATTATCAAAGTGTGATCTAGGATACACTGTCATATAGGTATCCAGAAAATATTTTAAAAATGTAATTTAAAAAAATTAAAACTGGGCCACACTTATATCATTTAATTTTATAGACCTGATTCTACTCAGAATCAGAAAGTGAAATGCTTTTCACTTCAGGTAATTTTTCACTCTATAATGCCAAATAGGAGAACATCTCTCTCCTTAGTGTTGTGCTTTCTGTAGTTCTTCATGCAACTGGGACAAATTTTGGCAATTTGATGACTGCATTTTATTATAGGAGTATTTTAAATGTTCTCTCTGTGGGTATTTCAAAGTAATGTCCAATTCAGACCTTGAAATTTATTCTTTTCTAATTTGCCAGTGGAAAACAGCATAGTATCATTCTAAAAAGAAGAGAAATTCCTCTTTTAGGAAAGCAGAAATACATGTTCTTTGTCTTAGTAAAGACTTTCATTGAACAAACGATTCCATGAGGCTTCTACAATTTATTGACTTAATAATAAATACATTTAATTGCTCAATTTAAAAATAAGTGGAAATTTGTAGCTTAAAAAAAATATCAAATCAACCTTGCATACTGCCTTAATCACAGTGCCTCAAAAGAATGTTGGCTGAATTAACAAAAACCAAATTATGCTGATTTACTTTGCTAAGGTAATATATCTGTAGCTATTTCCTGAAGTGACAGTTTTTCGTGGAAATACTTGTGGTTTCTGAGATTTCCTGAAATGTGAATTTCAGTCATGTAATTAAGAGGTTGTTTTAGTCATGGTAAATAATATTGGCTGCTGTAACAAACAACCTACAACCTTGTGAGCGGCTTACCGCAACAAGGGTTAATTTCTCACTTGTGTTGTGATTCAGTGGGATGTTTGGTAATCAGCCTCCCATATAGTGATTAGAAATACAGTCCCCTTGTATCTAATGGCTCCCTCCACCATCTGCTAGAGCAGGGATCAGAAAATATTTTTTTGTAAAGGCTGGATAGTAAATATTTTAGGCCTGCCAGCCAATAGACAAAATCAAATATATTATCTAGGTACTTATGTAACAAGAGAGAAAACAAATTTTGGCAAGTATTATTTTGATGAAATTAAAAATATAATAACAATGAAATTCTCTGTAATACAGGTGTACTAATGAGAAAAATTGAATAGTTCTTTTGGGGGATACACTTTGGCTTAATTGGGATTCAAAATTAGTTCCCTTGTCATCAAAATGATTGCAAATGTTCACTGGATAATGCTGATCTGTAAAAAATTTTATATATTTTATCTTTTGTATGTCTTTTTTTTTTTTTTTGTGACGGAGTCTCCCTCTGTCGCCCAGGCTGGAGTGCAGTAACACAATCTTGGCTCACTGCAAGCTCCGCCTCCCGGGTTCACGCCATTCTCCTTCCTCAGCCTCCCGAGTAGCTGGGACTACAGGCGCCCGCCACTGCGCCTGGCTAATTTTTTGTATTTTTAGTAGAGACGGGGTTTCACCGTGGTCTCGATCTCCTGACCTCGTGATCTGCCCTCCTCGGCCTCCCAAAGTGCTGGGATTACAGGTATGTGTCTTTTTAAATAGATAAATTCTGTTCAATATTGATATCAATCTGTGAGCATACAAATTTAATTGACCATATTCATCTCTTAGAAAACATTTGCAGGAGGCCAGGCACGGTGGCTCACGCCTGTAATCCCAGCACTTTGGGAGGCCGAGGAGGGCAGATAACGAAGTCAGGAGATCGAGATCACCCTGGCTAACACGGTGAAACTCCGTCTCTACTAAAAAAATACAAAAAATTAGACAGGTGTGGTGGCATGCGCCCGTAGTCCCAGCTACTCAGGAGGCTGAGGAAGGAGAATGGCGTGAACCCGGGAGGCGGAGCTTGCAGTGAGCCGAGATTGCGTCACTGCACTCCAGCCTGGGTGACAGAGCGAGACTCTGTCTCAAAATAAATAAATAAATAAATAAATAAAATAAAATAAAAAAGAAAACATTTGCAGAATTCTATTAGATTCTTCTCTTGTCTTGTAACATGTCATTGCATTGCAGGCTAATCACTTTTAATTGAAGATTAAGAGGAAGCTCCTCATTAGAACAGTTTTGAAATATGGAAGTAAGTATAGGTTTTTATAAATGGGAAATTCTTTTGCACTTGTCTTGAGGTCCAAAAACATTGCTGCAAATTTGTGTGGAAATGGAGATTTTTTTCTTCCTTTAAATTTACAGAACAGAAAGTGTGTAAAGCAGCTTGACATGACTTGTGAGTCAAGTTGTTATGAAAATAACTTTATAAAGTTTTACTTGTAAGTGCTATTTTACCTCAAATTTTTAGGTTGGATTTCTTAAACATGATCAATTCTGTGGAAAAAGCTGTTTTCCAAAGCTATTTAGTGTTTGCTAATCACAGCTGAGTGAAATTTTCCTTGTCCAGAAAAATTTTAATTTTGACCAGAAGCTCAAAAAAACACAAAAAAATTTTACCACTGACAGGCCCTTGATCTCCTGTGGGGTAAAACAAGTCAAGATATCTAGCTTCTATTCCTGACCAAAATTCATGGAATTGATGATAAGTAAGTCCATGAGAGCAAATGAAGTTCACTGTTGATGACTCTGGTTCAATAACACATGATAGAGTAAAATTTTTTCTGCAAAGTACCTGATGATGATCACAGCCTTTAAATACCTCATTTTTTCACTGCCTTTATGAATTTGTCCAGCTAAATCTTTTTCTGCTGTACACATATTTTTACCACTATCAGTTGAAACACATCTTAGCAGATCCCACTTCAGGGTGTACTGAATTAAAGTTTTCTCAACTTCTTTGAAAATAAGCTCACCTGTAGTTGTTCCACACAGATTATTCAGTAACTTCAAACTCAGCATTGAATAAACAATAACAATGAGCAGTACACATAACATCTACTCATGAAGAACTAAGACAAACCACTTAAAATCATTTGCCTTATTTTTTTGTTGCCTATTGATATCGCTCTCATATCCTTAACTGTTTGAGCAACTTCTTTGCATCAAAAGGCTAATAGTTTTAGATTCATTTTCTCTGGGTACATTTCTTCTACTACTACAGTCAAATATGATTTAATTAACTCATCATCAGGTAACAGCTTTCTTTGCTTGGCTAACAAGCCACTTGGAAGCTTACTGAGGGTGCAGCCTCATTTTCATTTTTTACTTTTGTGACGAAATTTTACCATGAGATATTTTGTTTTTAATTTCCTAATTTTTCTGGACATTGCTTACCTATGAGTTGAGAATGTTGTGATGAAGGCTTAGTTTGGTAATACCCATGTGTGTTGTCTTACTGTCCTATTTTTGCTGTAACAAATGTAGGGAATTAACACAAATTTATTTTCTTATAATTCTGGAGTATAGAATACCCCAAAGGGGATATTACTGGGTTAAAACCAAAGCATTCCAGAGGATCTAAGGAATAATCTGTTTTGTTGTTTGTTTGTTTTGCTTTCCCAGATTCTATAGTGTTTCTGAACTCCTTGACTTATAGGCTCCAGTCAGCAATCACATCTTTCCAATCTTTGCTTCCATTTTCCAGTTTTCTCTTCTGACTCTAACTCTCCTGCCTCCCTTTTATAAGGACCACTGTAATTACATTGAGACCACTAGAAAAATGTTATCTCAAGATCCTTTACTTAATCACATCTGAAAACTCCCTTTTGGGATGTAAGGTAACATATTCACAGATTTCACAGGTCTTGATTTGGATATCTTTGGGAGGCCATTATTTTGTCTACCACAAGTATACTGTCATTTCATAAAAAACATAATGTTTTGCTACCTAATTTGATAACAAAATAATCCACGTTACTCTACCTTACAAGTGTGCCATTGAAAGTCCTATTCTCTCTGCCTTTCTTCGTTTTTTTTTTTTTTTTCCCTGATGGACACGCACTCATAGAAAAAAATACTTATGTGTAAAATGCCATGGTACAATAATATACATGGCTCAAATGCTGTCAAATTATAATAACATCATTGCAGTGTGTAGTGTATTGAGTCAGAATGTTACAGCAATGAGATTGTCACATATGCTGTCTATTGCACCAATTCAACTCTGCCATTGCAGTATAAAAGTAGACATAGACAATATGAATGAATGTGAACATGAATGTTTTTAATAAAACTTTATTTGTGACATTGAAATTTAAATTTTATGTAGTTTTACATGTCATAAAATATTATTCCAATATAATTTATTAAAAAATGCAAAACCATTTTATTTGTGGACTACACAAAGATAGTCAGTGAGCCAGATATGTGCTGTAGTATTCTAACCTTTCTAGGACTCTCAGAGTCCTCCATTGCAGAAGGCTTTGCACGCTATACCTAGAATTAGGATACACTTCTGACCACACTCCCTTAACTGGAATCTAATCACTTGACCATATCTAATTGCAAGAGAGGCTGGAAAATATAGTTTTTCTGTGTGTCCAAGAAAAGGGAACATGGATATTGGTGAACACTAGCATTTCCACCATAATCTACTCCTCCTGGTAACCAAATTTTCAGTTTCTTCTTTTTTTCCCACACATAGATTACACTCATTTTCAAAATCTTGCTCAAAGTCTTGGGCCTCAATATGTCCTCTACATCATCATATCACACATAGTTCCGCATAGTCCTATGACTTGTAAACTTAGTATCTGTCCCTGATATCCACCATATCAAACAGTCCCATTTGGTAAGGATGAAAAAAAGAGACACAGCAGTTACTGTTTAAGGGTAATTCAAACACTGTGAAGGCTGTCAGTCCTGAGAGCAGAGGAAGATCCTTGATTCTTCCTTGGATCTGCTCTCTGTAAGGAACTCCTTTACACATTATTTTCTATGGCCCCCCGACTCTACTCTCTGGGAGGGACCTCCTTATCATGTCTTACTTGGCATATCTGAAGTGATTGAAGACTTCCTTAGGGCTGCGGAGCTTTGCCAGTGCACTGCCCACCTAAAGGTTTTTAAAATGTTCTTTAGTTACAAGTTCCTTTAGACTACCCTCCTGGTTTTATCTGCCATGCAATTTCCACAACGTTTGAGATTTGTTTGCTTGCAATCAATACCATGTGCCTGTAACCACATCCAAGTTGCTTTCCAGACATTGGTCTCTAATCAGCTTGATTTTATTGCTTAATTTCCCTATTTTTCTTTTTCTTAATTTAAGGTGGCTAAAACACCTGAAATGATTTTAAGGTGGCTAAAACTGGTGATTGATGTGGTATTTGATGCTAGGTTTAGTCACTTTAACCCACAGATGTTTTTTGATTACCCAAAGTCTCTCCCAATCACATCACTTACTGTTTGGGATCCAGAAGCTGTAGTCATAGACGTTTCCAACCTGTTCATGGCCCAAATTTTTAGACTTTTTCAGGTTTGTCTCATTTCTGCTTGCAACATGGACAACTCTTTCCTGAGCTCATCTCTTTCTTCTAACACCCTGACAAATGCAGACAACACTAGCTAGCATATACTACTACCATTGTTTTCCAACCTCTTCCCCTAGAGGTATAATTCAGTAGGCACATGACCTGCCTACCAAATTATTGTTGGCAACACATTTTTTTTGCAAATGTATTTTCCATAGAAGAACACTTTTTTTGATTTTCAGCCTGCTGACCACCTTCCTACTTAGAAGCCAGAATCTCCAACATCAATTAGAAAATCTAGGTACAGACTAAGTGCTGTAGCAAACAACACTAAAATCTCAGTAGCTTAACACAATTACATTTCACTTCTCATTCGTGCCTTAGTCCATTTTGATGTTCATTGAGAAGCTTGCTATGCAATGATTCAGAATCTAGTCTTTGAGAGGGGACTTTAAAAAGTAATTTAAGGTTCCAAATCTACAGATTCTGGGAATATACTATAGGGAATAAAATAGGAATTTAGGTATTAGAAGACCATTAGAGCAACTTAGGAAACAGTAAACCAAATATTAGAACCAGATGAAGAGCAAGAATCACTAGAAGCCCAGTCCCAGAGAACTGGGTTAAAGCTCTTAAAGTGTCTCCTGGGGTTCTCCCATGACTAGGATTGATCAAGAAAGCCCAATCAGCAGGTACACATATATTGGCCTCTGCTGTAGGAGCCGGAGAAAGGCAGAAAAAGGACACCAGGCAGATGTTATACCCTTCCTCCTAAGGGCACCCAGCATGGCATATGAAATAACTAGGACCTAGGGAGAGCTCCTACTTTCACAGTGGGAGTTGTCACTATTTCTTTATATTGACCATCACTTTCATTGTAATTTTGGGAATTGGTTTAAAGCTCAGGAATAACTTTTCAACTTCTTTTGTTTTGTTTTGGACCCCACAAATTTATTTATATCAGGGTTTGTTGTGTATTCCATTTTATGATTAACCTTCGTTGGATTTATTTATTTTCCAGTTAAAGCCACTAGTCTCAATAACTAAATAAATATAACTAACTAAATAAAAGAATGTAATTCCTTAGATAATTTTATATGTTAGACATTATTAATAAAATACACTATGTGTTAGGATATATATACATTTTTTAGAAAATGAAGTTCACCAAGACTAAGTTAGTAAGTGGGAGAGCAGGGGTGTAAAGATGTTTAAAAACACATTCCTTGTTTCTAAAAACTTTCAAATGTTTCAGAATGTTTTGGGAAATTTTGGATAACTAATATTGATATCCCTCCAATAATCCAAAGACACAGATATTTTTGGTGGCTCAGACTAAAAAAAATGCCTGTAAACTCTGGCATATTCTTGAGTTGAAGTAAAGGCTTGGGATCCTATACTGAACCAGCCAGATGGAGCATGGACCACTTCAGGGGGCAGTGAATAAGAGTGGCCCTAAGTAGGTGTATTAGTCCACTTTCTCACTGCTATGAAAAAATACCTAAGACTGGGTAATTTCTAAAGAAAAAAGCTTTAATTGGCTCATAGTTCCACATACTGTACAGGAAGCATGATGCTGGCATCTGCTGGGCTTCTAGGGAGGCCTCAGGAAACTTACAATCGTGGTGGAAGGCAAAGGGGAAGCAAGCACTTCACATGGCTGGAGCAGGAGTAAGAGAGAGAGTGAGAGGGTGCTACACACTTTTAAACAACCAGATCTCACGAGCACTCACTCGCTATCGCGAGAATAGCACCAAGGGGGTGGTGTTAAACCATTCATGAGAAACTGCTCCCATGATCCAATTGAAAGAAGGAAAGTTCCCTTATCCCTCTCACAGGGTGCGTGATGGGGGTGTGGCTTGCTTCTTTGGTGCCCCGCTGCTCAAACCTCTGGGAGCATGCAGACGGTCAGGTTGTGAGGCTTCGATCCTACAGCAGTGTCTACGGGTGAGTGTTTACGGCTGAAACTTCAGTCGGCATGTGTTACAATGTGCTCTTTCAGTTCAGCCGTCCATAGGCAGCTTGTGTTTATCAGCTCAATTGGCCCCCCTGCCTTATCATAAGGACAGAGGGCTTTCTGTATCCTAGGTTCTTGCCTCGGTGTGCCTGAAAAATAGGGTCACACATGGGCTTGGAGGATGGATGCAAGGTTTTTTACTGAGTGGTGGTAGCTCTCAGCAGATGCAGGAGCCAGAAAGGGGGTGGAGTGGGAAGGTGGTTTTCCCCTGGAGTTGGGCTGACCAGTGGCCAGGTTCTCCTCCAACTACCCTGGCCAAAATCAATGCCGTTCCACCAGCTGGCCTGCCAGCATCTGCTGGTGTCTGCCAGTGTGTTCTTCTGCCGGTGTGCCCCTCTCATTGTCCTCCTGACGTCCAGCTGCTTGTGTGTTCTTCCACTGGTGTGTGCCTCTTGATGTCCAGCTGCTTGTGGACATGCCCGCTAGGGTCTCAGGGTTTTTATAGGCACAGGATGGGGGCATGGTGGGCCAGGGTGGTCTTGGAAAATTCAACATTTGGGCACAAAAACAGAAATGACTGTCCTCACCTAGGTCAGTGGGCACAGGTCCGCCGGTGGAGCCCTAGACAGGGACCTGCCCTTCTCTACACAGCACTTCCTTGTCCCCCTTCACAATCACCTCCTACCAGGGCCTGCCTCCAACCATTAGATTACAACTGAACATGAGGGTGAGTAGGGACACAGATACAAACCATATCAATAGGCAATATTATTTAGCACTTGTCATAAAGATATCTGTATCTATACTAACATAGATTGATATCTGTCTATATGCTTCTCTGTCGATCTCTCTACATATCCTTTTGCTCCAAATGAAGATGAATTCTGATGCTACTTTTAGAGATCTCACAAAGTCTAAATCTATTCCTCTCTTACAGTTTTGGTGGTTAGAAAAGAAATCAGGTTGCTTTTACAATTTTCCCCAAACTTTTCTGAACTGATGCCTCATATTTCTCTGCAGGGTTTGAGCTAAAGAAGCTTTCATGAGACAGCCCTCTGATATGGCTATAGTGAATTCAGAGATGCTAGGACAAGACTGGATTTCCTAGATCCCTAATGAGCTAGATTTTCTGGCTGCCTCTAGGTTCAGAAGGAAAGAGTTGTGTGCTTGAATAATGATCCATATAATGGGCTCAAGAGGAGAAATGTAGAATGTGTAGTATATATCTTTGCTATTAGGGATATGACTGACTCATTTTGGGGACCTGAATAAATGAATATATCTTGGGAAGAAAATTCAGCAAGCTAATTGTTAGCAAACTTGTGGCTTTTAGTTAGCTGTTAGTGGCTTTTTGTAAAGGGATTAGGGTGAGGTCCTCCTACCAGCCTCTTTGGCACTGAGAATAAGTATTAATAATAATAGGTAACATTTAAAAGTACTTATGCTAAGCACTGTACTAGGTACTCATGAATAATCTTATTAAAACTTCGCAAAAGCCCTATGAAGTAGGTAATATTGTTAATTCCATTTTATAGGTGAGCATACTTAGGCTTTCAGGCTTATAAAAGATATATGGGTTTGTCTCCCTGGGTTCCAAAGTGGCAATGCCACCCAGCCCTATGGATTAAAGAAAGTATATTCACTTGCTTATACAGGTCAAATAAAATCCTTGATGCTAGGTTTGGTTGTCTGTATCTTTTATGCCTGGTAAATTCTGAGAATCTGTTTCTGGAGCCTTGAGTTCTTAATGTATGCAGTAAAAATACATCTATTTGTAGGTCACTGGAAAGGCAAAGGTCTTTCTGTGGTCATGCATTCTCAGCTTTAATTAGTTCAGAGTGAACAGGCAGAGAGTTTGGAGGCTAAGGAAAGACAGAGGCAAGATTTACTAGGGTGGGCAGCTTGACTATATTTGGAGTAAAGGCTCTAAAATGTGGTCTTTTTTACTTTGCATTTCCCAAAAGGCTTTTAGGATTTCAATCACGAATTTCCTCTATATTTAAATATAAGAAATGGAAAAATAAGTTTAGAACAACACATTCCTGAATATCAAGCAGGCTGTATATATTGCCATTGCAACTTCCCAGGGTATCTATAACTTAGAGTAGAGGTTGACAAACTATGGCCCATGGGCCAAAAATGGCCTGCCATCTGGTTCTGCAAACAAGGTTTTATTGAGAAACAGTCATGTTCATTTATCTATGTATTATGAATGTCTGCTTTAGTCCTACAAATGCAGAGTTGAGTAATTGCAACAGAGAATGTGAGCCCAAAATATTTACTCTTTGGCCCCTAGGTGGGGCTTTGGCCGCAAAACCTACTTTTGGTCAAACTCCTTGGACCTAATGTGAGCTAGAACTTCTATTTTCCTCTTTAAGGCCTAAGCTAGAAGCCAGCTAAGAGGCTTTCCTGGCCTTCATGGCTTCCTTACTCAAACCCATCACTATGATTTTTGTCCTTTCATCAGAACAAGTGTTCAAAGAGTTTCTCTAAGGCTTGGAGCACAGCTGCTTAAGCAGTCTTACATTAATGACAAAGTGATGGTTATCAGACAGTAAGAGTAATAGGATGGAGAGTAACTACAAAAGATGTGATAAAAATGCATAAAGTAATACATAAAATATTTCATGTTTGATAAAGTCAAAGTAGAAGTTTTAGCAGTTAAAGAAAAAAACTGATCAAATTCTGGAAATGTTAACAGGTGTCATATACAGAATAATAAAAATGAACATTCAGAAAACATGTGTCAAATTTGTCAATGTAATAATTCTGCTTTATTGTTAATCATAACTTGGTGCACTATTTTACTAGTGTCCTGTCCTAGGTACAGGGAGAATGTAACCAAAGTGATACCAATTCCATGTCTATTGGCTTTACTTTGCAGTTAAAATGATTCAAATTATTAAAATAAAATCAAGCTGTTTTATTCATAACGAGCCAAAGTTATCTTCTTTTGGAATATCTTTTAGAGATGATGAAAAGATGTATGAAGACCTGTGCTCAGAAATGTATTTACTACAGATCAAAAATCCAAATTACTAGAAAAATTCAATTCGAAGTAGAAAATACATGCTGTTGGATTCTTCATGGAATAGTAACAATACCACTGAATAGAATGTGATTTTTCACAATGTTGAATACGCTCTTAGAACGATAATTTTGTAAACACACTTGGGAGAATATAATTTGAATACAAATGTACTCTTATTTAGCATTTTACAGTATTTACGAATTTCAAATATATCAGAAGAGATCACTTGGCGAATTGGGAGGAAAATATATTTTTCTTCTCTGTAAGACAGAGAAGTCCAGTAAAAGAGTCCCAATTTATAGCCTCAGATTCTAAACCAAGTATGTCTTTGGCTGAAGAGATTTCTCCTGGAACATGGTGTGTGGTTCTGGGCATGACACATACAGAGGCACATAAACAACTCCAGAACTTCTAGAAGGGAACAACTGATATAGTTTGGGAGAAATCTAGCACTGAAGAAGAGTGTGCTGGAAAGATATTTGAAAAGGAGTTTGTCAGTATGGCCCAGTGACTAAAATCAGGACCAACATTATGTAAATTCAGTTGAAATGTAAGGAAAACAGATTTTAGTTGAATCATGTTCAGAAGAATTCAAATACAGAATTCAAGAAAAGGAATGAATGGTTTCTGGAGGTGGTGACATTCTTTATTTCTGGAATGTCCATAAGCAGCTATTTGGAGAGACAGTATTCTGAATTTTGAAAAAATATAAGAGGTTATAAAAGAAATCATCAATGATACATATTAAAATTCATTATAATGAAAATAAGCTGTAAACATAACAATATAATTGAAAAAATTGCAGAAATGTGTTAAAGGATTTCTAACAATTATAAGGGATATCTAATTCTCACGTATAAAATTTCAAAACACCAAATATATGAACATAAGACACAAGTAGATAATTCATACATGGGGAATAAACAACTATAAATGTTTACCTTCACAGTTATTTAAAGAAATTCAAATTAAAACAAATATACCATGTTATACAAATAAAATAAACAAAATGGAGGACAAAAACTAAATTGGTAATATTCAATGGTGGCAAAAGGGTGTTTTAAAATGAACTCCATACATTGCTGGTGGCATTGTACATTGGTATAGCCTTTGCACAAGCAAGAAAACAAGTTAAAACACATCATATAAACCATTCATAACTTGCTTCATTAAATCTATTCTTCATGATATTGTCTAAAGAAACAGCTCACGTGATATAAATTACAGTGGCATTTATAGTAGTAAAAAAGTTAGAAGGAAATAAACTATACTTACAACAAATCGGTGAAATATGTACCAGCCATTAAACTTTTACTAACATCTAATAATTTCATTGGAACAATTGTTTCTCCAAAATTTCATGCAAAGGTGGAGATAAAATGATACACACCATGACTGCAACAATGCAAAATGTGTAGGCATGTGAGCCAAGAGAAGATAAATAAAAACAGTAGCAAAGGTGGTGAAATTACAGTGGTGATTTTCTTCCCTTCACAATTTGTCTTTAAAGGAGTAGTACTGTATTTATTTAAATAAAGAATTAGGAATGAAAATTTTTTAGACAGTTCTGTGTATACTTTTTAAAGTCTTGTTTTGATAAAGCTTGTGGTATTTTTACTTGCCTGTGAAAAACTAACTGGCTTAGTTAGGAAAATACAGGTATATATATTTAGGGTAAATTTGTATATATATATTTTATTAAATATATGTATTTATAAAGTAGAAATATAAAAACATAAAATATAAACATGTTTAATCAATTTGTAAACTCATTTTTTGAATGTTAGAAATAGCATTATTTTGAAATAACTGGAATATATGGCATAATATGATACATATCGGCAACACAGTTATGCATCCGTGTACCTGGCACCCCTCGTCCACTTCTTAGGATAACTACTATCCTAATTTGATGTCTGTTATTCCCACACAATTTAATATACTTACACTTGCATAATATATGTCTACACCACATACAGGTTGTTTTTCCCATTTTAAAATTTTATAAATTATCAAAATTATAACGTTTAAAAAATTTATTCCTTGTTATACATGTATATTCTGCATCGTAATTTTGTGTCTGGAATTGGTGGGTTCTTGGTCT
Organism: Homo sapiens; assembly: GCF_000001405.40. Taxonomy (NCBI): domain Eukaryota; kingdom Metazoa; phylum Chordata; class Mammalia; order Primates; family Hominidae; genus Homo; species Homo sapiens. Next base: position 44,500,096 of record NC_000012.12, read on the forward strand.
TGTTGACTTCAAGAATGAAGCCACGGACCCTCGTGGTGTTACAGTTCTTAAAGATGGTGTGTCCAGAGTTTGTTCTGTCAGATGTTCAGATGTGTCCAGAGTTTCTTCCTTCTGGTGGTGAGAGGTGACAGCATGCTGGCAGCCCTTGCAAGCCCTAGGTCTCTCTTGGTGCCTCCTCGGCCTTGGCACCCACTCTGGCCATGCTTGAGGAGCCCTTCAGCCTGCCACTGCACTGTGGGAGCCCCTTTCTGGGCTGGCCGAGGTCAGAGCTGGTTCCCTCTGCTTGCGGGGAGGCATGGAGGGAGAGGTGGGGGCGGGAACTGGGGCTGCGTGTGGTGCTTGCGGGCCACTGCGAGTTCTGGGTTGAGATGGGCTCCATGGGCCCTGCACTCGGAGCAGCCGGCTGGCGCCACGCCAGGCAGTGAGAGGCTTAGCACCTGGGCCGGTAGCTGTGGAGGGTGCTCCGGGTTCCCCAGCAGTGCCGGGCCGGCGCTTCGCTCAAATTCTCACTGGGCCTTAGCTGCCTCCCTGTGGGGCAGGGCTCGGGACCTGCAGCCTGCCATGGCCGAGCCTCCCACCACCGTGGGCTCCCGCATGGCCCAAGCCTCCCCGATGAGTGCCGCCCCCTGCTCCGTGGCACCGAGGCCCTTCGACCACCCAAGGGCTGAGGAGTGTGGGCATGTGGCGTGGGACTGGCCTGCAGCTCCACCTGTGGCCCTGGTGCGGGATCTACTAGGTGAAGCCAGCTGGGCTCCTGAGTCTAGTGGGGACTTGGAGAACCTTTATGTCTAGCTAAGGGATTGTAAATACACCAATCAGCACTCTAGCTCAAGGTTTGTAAACACACCAATCAGCACCCCCTGTCTAGCTCAAGGTTTGTAAATGCACCAATCAGTGCTCTGTGTCTAGCTGTTCTAGTGGGGACTTGGAGAACTTTTATGTCTAGCTAGAAGATTGTAAATGCACCAATCAGCACTCTGTGTCTAGCTAAAGTTTTGTAAACACACCAATCAGTGCTCTGTGTCTAGCTATTCTAGTGGGGACTTGGAGAACTTTTATGCCTAGCTAAAGGTTTGTAAATGCACCAATCAGCACCCTGTGTCTATCTCAAGGTTTGTAAATGCACCAATCAGTGCTCTGTGTCTAGCTAATCTAGTGGGGACTTGGAGAACTTTCGTGTCTAGCTAAAGGATTGTAAATGTACCAATCGGCACTCTGTGTCTAGCTCAAGATTTGTAAACGCACCAATCAGTGCTCTGTCAAAATGGACCAATCAGCCTTCTATAAAATGGACCAATCAGCTCTCTGTAAAATGGGCCAATCAGCTCTCTATAAAATGGATCAATCAGCAGGATGTGGGTGGGACCAGATAAGGGAATAAAAGAAGGCTGCCCCAGCCAGTAGTGGCAACCTGCTTGGGTCCCCTTCCACACTGTGGAAGCTTTGTTCTTTCGCTCTTTGCAATAAATCTTGCTGCTGCTCACTCTTTGGGTCCGCACTGCCTTTATGAGCTGTAACACTCACCACAAAGGTGTGCAGCCTCACTCCTGAGGCCAGTGAAACCACAAACCCACCAGGAGGAATGAACAACTCCAGATGGAAGGAACGAACAACTCCAGACGCGCCACCTTAAGAGCTGTAATGCTCACAGCGAAGGTCTGCAGCTTCACTCTGGAAGCCAGTGAGACCACGAACCCACCAGAAGGAAGAAACTCTGAACACATCTAAACATCAGAAGGAACAAACTCCGGACACGCTGCCTTTAAGAACTGTAACACTCACCGCAAGGGTCCGGGGCTTCATTCTTGAAGTCAGTGAGACCAAGAACCCACCAATTCTGGACACAGTGGGTTCGTGGTATCAGTGACTTCAGGAGTGAAGCTGCAGACCTTCACGGCGAGTGTTACAGCTCTTAAAGGTGGCGCGTCAGGAGTTGTTCATTCCTTCCTGTGTGTTTGTGGTCTTGCCAGCCTCAGGAGTGAAGCTGCAGACCTTCACGGTGACTGTTACAGTTCATAAAGGTGGTGCGTCCAGAGTTGTTCCTTCCTTCTGGTGGGTTCGTCGTCTCACTGGCTTAAGGAGTGAAGCTGCAGACCTTCGTGGTGAGTGCTACAGGTCTTAAAACACAGCAGGGACCCAAAGAGTGAGCAGCAGCAACATGTATCGCGAAGAGAGAAAGAACAAAGCTTCCATGGCGTGGAAGGGGACCTGAGCAGGTTGCTGCTACTCGCTCAGGTGGCCTGCTTTTATTCCCTTATCTGGCCTCACCTACATCCTGCTGATTGGTCCATTTTACAGAGAGCTGATTGGTCCGTTTTACAGAGAGCTGATTGGTCCATTTTGACAGAGTGCTGATTGGTGCGTTTACAAACCTTTAGCTAGACAGAGTGGTGATTGGTGCATTTACAATCCTTTAGCTAGAGGGAAAAGTTCCCCAAGTCCCCACCTGTCCAAGAAGCCCAGCCAACTTCACCTCTCACTGGCACTCTCTGCCAGACTTTGTGGCTCCTAGCTCTGGCATTCTGGCAGCCCAGAGAGAGGTTGCCCCAGACAACCAAGAGGAAAAGAGGGGAAGCGAGAAAGAGACAGAGACCCACCATCCTGGCCAACAACCCTGCGAAGAGGGAAATTGGCAGTCCATGCACAGGACCCAGCCTCTGATCAAGCCCAGCAGGCACAGGCTGGCCACGTGGAGTGTGGGGCCCTCCAAGCCGCGCCCACCCAGAACCTAGGCCAGCCTGCCAGCGCGGCTTGCAGTCCCGGCTCCCACCTGTGCCTCTCCCTCCACACCTCCCTGCGAGCAGAGGGAGTCGGCTCCAGCCTTGGCCAGCCCCAGAGAGGGGCCCCCACAGCACAGCGGCCGGCTTAAGGGCTCCTCGAGCATGGCCAGAGTGGACGCTGAGGCTGAAGAGGCACAGAGAGCAAGCAAGGGCTGCTAGCACGTTGTTACCTCTCAATTTTTCTAAACATTGTTTGTGAGACTCATTCTTGTTGGTATATGTAGTTTTATTTATTTTCATTCGAGTATTCCAAATAAACATACCACATTTTGTTTATCAATGACTGTATTAACATTTGAATGGTTTCCAGTATTCTGTTATTACAAATAAAGCTGTTATAAACATCTTCTTGTCCATGTGTATGAGAATTCTTCTATATCACTTCTGTTGAATAGAACATTTTACAATTATAGAAATGTTCATTGTGCTGCCCAATAGAGTAGTCACTAGTCACAGAGTAGCTACTGAGCTCTTGAAATGTGGCTCATGCAAATGGAGAACTGAATGTAATTTAATTTTAATACATTTTAATTTAATAGCCACAAATGGCCAGTGGCTACTGCATTGAACAGTGCAGTTCTAGATCATGTACTTGGGAGTATATACTGAGTCATGCACATCTTCAACTTTCTGCACTGCAAAGTTACCCTCCAAACTGGTTTGGAGATGTGTGTATAGTGTACAAGCACAGTATTCCTGTTGTTTCATATGCTCACCAATATCTGGTGTTATATTACTTTTTAATTTTGTCATTTTTGCCTATTGCATCATTGTGGTTTTAATATACATTTACTTGATTACTAGTGACCCTAAGCAAATTTTACATGCTTGTTAGTCATTCTGGGATTTCCTTTCTTGTAGCATACCTAGGCATTGCTTCTGATCATTTTTCTGTTGGATGCATTGTACTTTTCTTCTTTTTAGGACATATATATATATATATATATATATGCATATATATATGCTTTTTGAGTTTATTTAAAAGTATTCTAAAGCCAAAAACAATTCTAATTTTTTTTCATAAATTTATTTTATTTTTCACATTTTGGTCTTTCTCTTATGTGGAATTTATTTTTATGAAATAAGGATCAATGTCTATGTTTTTGCTTTCCCATAATCAATTTCACAGCCTCGCTCAGTGTAACTTCTATCCTCTATCAAGTATCTATATGTGTATAGGATGGTTTCTGAGTTTTTGATGAAAATGTTCATGTTATCTAGCTTGTCTATTCCTAAAACAATGACTCTTAATTCCTATAGCTTTATACCTTCTTGATACATGGTAGAATAAGTATCCCCTGTCTCCAAATAGAATCTTTTCTCAAAGTATTCCTGGCTATTCTTGGACATTTGTTTTTCTATAATAGTTTACAATCACCTTAAAATAACATTTTTAAAATTATAACTACTGGGGAGAATTGATATTTTTGTGACATTGTCTTTCTGCCCATTATTTCATTAAATTGAATATTCTTTCATGTTAAATCCTTTTGATTCTCATTATTACCATCCTAGTCCAAACCATTATTCTCTTGTCTGAAATTCTGTGGTATGAATGTGCCTCCTGAGTACATGTTCACCAACACCGCTCGTTTCTCCCCCAACCCCACCTGTTTGTTCTCCACATAGTAACAAGACAGATCATTTTACCTGTCATATTATAGCACAGCTATGCTCAAAACTCGCTAATGCCTCCTATGTCACTAAGAATAAAAACACAAATCGCTAACCATGGCCTAGGAGAACCTGATTTGGTCACTCCTCTGACAGCATCTTCTACATGTTTCCACGTTCTCATTCCACTCAAGACATGTAGGTGTGCTTCCACCTCAGACCTGTGCACACTGTTCCCTCTGCTTGTAACTCCTTCCCTCCAGGTATGAAAATGGCTCCAGGTATGAAAATGGCTCATGCTGTCACCTCATCCAAGTATTTGCCCCAATACTATTTTGTTGTGGAGAGGACTTCCTGTCCAACCAACCTAAATGATCACCCCTCTCCACAACAGTATCCCAAGCCAGCTTAACTTTTCTTCTAGCTCTTATCACCACCTGAAATGGTATCTATTTATTTGTTGATTTTCTTTCTCCTCCATTAGGACATGTACTTTATGAGTCAGCAATAAATGAATGCTTATGCTTTGCACATACTTTGTTCATTATTTTTCTTTTCTTTCTCTATGGCTGTGGTTTTGTGAAAGAAAGAGAAAAAGCCTCAAAAATAAACTCACTATCATTTCTGCTTTTACATAGAATTATACTCTTATTTCAGGCTGCTTTTCTAAAACACCTAACATTGGAGATAAATAAGAGGTCATGTTTTAAATGCAATATATTGGTGGTGGCAGTAACATAGCGTGCCATCCATCATTTGGAATAAATAAAAATTTCAGACTCTGTCATGCAAACAATCTCTGTGAACAATTATTTAATACAAATACAAAGACAAAAGATATGGGGGAGTTGTCCCAGCCTGGCAAGTAGAGAGAATATAAGAAACTGCAACTCAGATTATCCTGTTCCAAACTTCTCCAATAGTTCTATTCCTTGCCTACTTATGTCACCACCAATCCGGAGCTACTGTAGCCCAAGGAATTCCTGACTTTCTACCTGCAGGTCTATTAAGTAAGGGCAATTATTCTGCAAAGAGGTGACAACTCCTTTATGGAAAATGTTGAATTCTAGGGTAGAAAACTGTGCAGTAATGAAATGTCAGTAAGACCACAAGGAGCCAACTCCACTGCAATGGTGACTGCAGACAGGGAGTGTCCAGGTACCACAGTGAACAAAGTGGGTACAGAGCACAGCATCCACTTACTGTCTTCAGGGATGCTTTTGGCATGACTCTCTCAAGAGATCAATTTACTGTTGAGCTACAACACTCTACATTTGAAAAAATGGAAAATAAAAAGTCTTTCTTTAAGAACAGTTGGTATTGTCAATCCTTAAGCTACCTACATCAACAGGACTGGGACCATGCAGGTATCTGTGGGATGTGCCGACCTTCAGAGGAAGTCCTAACTAGTCAGCAATGTGGAGCTTTGATAGATGAGGTCATGCTTAGTGAACTGAAGCTCATATTTTATTCAGTAGATGTAACCTCAGTTTTATTCAACTGAATAACTTCCGCTACTCCAACACTCAAGAGTATTGACTGCTGTTTTAGAGCTTTGATATGCCATTCATTTTGTAAAGGCAATTTACAGGGTGTTTCAACTTTGGCTATAGATAACCAAGTTATGGGAAGGATGAAAGGGTTCCATGATATTGCAGTATAATTGAACAAATGCATGACTCTTTTTACCATTATATAAGGCAAACCAAAAAAAGCAATATGGCAGTCTTTTAAAAAGGGAGATAAACTATACAGGTTACTAAACCAAAGAATCATAGCGAAATATTCTTTTTTTTTTTTTTTTTTTTTTTTTTGCAGAAAAGGGGAAATAAAGAAAATGGAGTAAAGACTATTTTCACCAAGGCCTGCCCTTAAAGGAGCTAAGCACCCTCAAAATAAATTCATGCTTCTTAGCTCTCACTTTCCCTTAATATTGGCACAACTCAGCCATGGCATTCTGCCAATTATCATCAGAGTGAGAAATGGGGTATTAACCTTCCCTTTTTCAAGGAACAAAGTTCTTAAGAAACAATTGATTACTGCTTGCCCAGGGCCTGCACATGAAACAGTAATTCTCCTGGGGAATCTACTATTTGTGGAGTAAACCTTGAAGAAAAAAAAATTCAATCTGAATTCATGTGTTGCTTTAATAGTCGTTGAATTATCATAGTCTTGTATTTTCCTTCTTTTCTTCTTAACTATGAGTTTTCTTTCACTCAGCGGCCTATAGAAACCAAGGATCTGCAAGCCACCAATATGCCCAGAGCCCTACAAAGATTTCCAAAGGATTTGTAATATAAAATTCCAGCCTTGCTTCTCCTTCCAGAAGGACATATCTAAATGACAAATATGTATCTATATGGGTGTATACACACACACACACACACACACACACACTTTCCTACACACATTTCTTACTCTCTTATAAAAATGAGTAAAGTATACTTTTTCAGGAGGATTCAATATGAAATCACAAAGCTATATAAGGAAAAAATAACTTGAAAAAACTTCAAATTAACAGATATCTTCTTGGAAGCTAAATTGCTATTTACCATTGTAATACAGCTGACAAAAAATAAACCTTATGCTCTGTTGAATTAAATTAAATTAAACATAAAAAGGCTACAGAAAAATCATTTATGATAAATTCAGGGAATATAGCTACTTGATTTTACACATTCAATAAATATTACCATGCCAAACTATGAAGACATTTTTGAATTATCTTTCAACTCAGCTCGTGCTAGGTTGTTTCCATAGCAATAGTGAGTGAACAGTTAAAAGCCACTTTATCATTTCTGTAGCTTGCGGTGGTCACCTTGTGTTCATTTTAATTTTTTTTTAAAAAATGCCTCTATGCATCGAAAATTAATTTGACAATACTTATATTTCCTTTTCACCCTAGTGTAAAACATAACAGGGCAATATTGGATTGGCTTCCTTTATTGAGTTTCAGGATGTTTACTTTTATCCCCTCTGACATTCTGGTGCATCAAAATATTTAACATGTAATTAATATCATAATATCTTTTAACATTGATATTTTTAAAAATTTTATATCAAAACGTGAAGGACCAATTCTTGAAGACATTCTCAACCTCACATACTGCTCTCCTTATGTGTATCAGTTAGAATCCTGGCAGGAAACAGATGGCACACTCAAGCTGGCTAATTAAAGAGTATAACAAAGGGACCATTTATAAAGATATGCCTAGAAATAGAGAAAACAAGATTGAACAGTTACCTCCCAAGGACAGAATAGCCAGAGCTGTTAATATCCCTAAGCCAGAAGATGCAAACAGTAGAAGTTATCAGAACCTGGTGAGGCAGTGAGACAGAGAGGAGTACCTTTCAAGAGATATAACCTTCAGTAAGGTGACACACCAAATCATGGCGGTGGCCAGGCAGGAAGGGAGCCAGCGGAATAAATATCCAAACTTGACCTCTTCCTAATATGCCAGCTGTGTTTCCTGCTGCAGTATAATTGAAACCAGACAAGAATCAAGAGGAAAAGGAACCCACTATTAGGGTCTGTATAGGTCAGCCACCCCAGGATGCACAGCAGGGTAGAAAGGGTGAAATTGAGGATCTAGAGAGGAAGAACTAAGTTATCCATCACATCCCTTACTTAGGCATATCATTTTCAATTTGGAAATTTGGAAATAGCAACTTTCAATTTAGAAATAACATAGCAGGAGTTTATCATCAGCAGAACTAGAATGCAATTTTTATAGAATCATCTGTGGAAAAGAGGAACATATTAAACAAGATACTCAGACTCACATGTGTTATAAGGTAAGAGAAATATTTATTTAATTTTGCACAAGAACGAGCTTATACTGAACAAATTCAACCAAATAATATTAAGTGCAGTAAAACAAGGAAATAGGGATGACTTTTCCTGTTAGAAAATATTAAGTAACCATGCCTGTGCATTATTTTTATCATTACAATAACTTGTTTCAGATTTCTTTTCAGAGTGTACTGTACATAACATGTTATAGCTTCTTTGCTTTACTTCTGAAAATATAATTCATTCACTGCCTGACATTTTATTTCTTGCAGTGAGGAACCTAACTGATTCTTGAAGATTCTGATCTAGAGGAAAATTTTCTGCACCAGTGAAGCTAGAGGCTTTCACAGATCCAATGGGCTCAGGCTTTCTATCCAGGGTTCAGGATGTCACGGTATATACTGTACGCCCATTCTTCTACATGGTGATGTGAGACACAGTAGAGGCAGACTTGAGGTCTAATTTTGCCCCAGTAATTTTCCTTTTGTGATTTTGTCAAGCTCCACAAATTTCATAATTGAAAGTTCACTCAGCTATTAACAAAGCTGCATTTAGCTGCCCACAAATCACCCAATTTAAGTTTTAACTTCTTTTTGGTCTTTTAATGAAAGAACATTCTTTTAACAGAAATCTCCCATGAGACAGTTAACTTCACAGTTCCTGAAGGCACTGTGGATCCACTGAGCAACAGATGTGGCCATTCTAGATTTAAAAAAAGTAGAAAGAAAAACAGTATGAATTTTTAAGCCATTAGTAAATGATCACATTTATTGATTGGTACTTACAAACAAAACTGTATAATTTATTTCTGCATTCCTAAAAATTCAATGGCCCAATCACTTTTCATGACTCTACTATTGCAGACTCAATTATTATGCCCATTGTATTTGTGGGAAGTCATAAACTGGCTTTATTTACTCATTGGCATCCTCTGTATCACATTTGTTCTTTCATTTATTTGCAAAATATGTACTAAGTCTATGTAAGCACTAAGTATATTAATAAATAAAGCAGACATGGTCACTAACCTCACAGAGCAGGGTTTGCAGTTTATCTAGGGAGAAAACTAGTAAGTACCATGCAAACATATAATCAAAAATTGTGAAAAGTGCTAGAAAGGTGCTATGAACTAAATGTTTGCATCCTCTTAAAACCCACATGTTGAAATCCTAATCCCCAGTGTGATGGTATTAGGAGGTAAAGCCTTTGAGAGGTAATTAGTGAATGAGGGTAGAGCACTCATGAATGGGATCAGTGCCCTTACAAAAAGATGAGAACACATGCGTCCTCTCTCTCTATCTACCATGTGATACAATGAGAAATGGCCATCTGCAAACAGGAAGTGTGTCCTTGGAGATACCAGATCTGCCAGGGTCTGGATCTTGGAATGTGAGAAATGAATTTCTCAGCCTCCAAAATTGTGGGGAATGAATTGTCGTTGTTTAAGCCACCCAGTCTATGGTATTCTGTTACAGCAGCCTGAACTGACTAAGACAAAAGGAAATACACTAGGTGGTTGTGTGAGATTAATAAAAGACTAGCTACTTAGTCAATGTCCAGGGTAGACTGTTCTGTGAGGTGATATTTAAACCGAGACCTGGAGACTGCATGAAAAGGTGGCCAAACGCACAGAGGAGAGTTTTGTGTAGTTAAGAAACTGAAAAAAAGCTTTGGGTAAGAATTTTCAGTTAGGGAAGAAAACTGTGGTGATGAAATAGGATAAATAGGCAGGGAAGGGCCAGATATGCATAATTAGTTTTTGATATAAGGTATCAAAACAATATAGTGTTGTACAAAGAAGAAAAACCTTCTATCCTATTCTTTTGATTCCCTGCACTCTTACTTTTCTCAACCAGCTAACTCATAGATAATGTTAATATCGTTTTTAAAACCGTGATGATGATAATATCCCTCCATTCCTTAAGTGTGTACTCTGTGTCAGACACTTTGCCAGGCATTTAAAATACATTATCTAATTTCAACCGCACAGCATTCCCAGTTGGATTCCTATTAATAGTCACACGTTTTAGATTCAGAAACTGAAGATCAGAAAGCTTAAATATCATGTCCAAAATCACACAGCTAGTAAATGGTAGAGCTAGGATTAAAACTCAGGCTAGCCTGACTCTAAAATACATCCTCCATTATATAGTTTCTCTCAGAAAATTGGCTTTTGATGATTGAAATGCATTATACTTTAATATGATAAAAACTGAAAGTGTCTTTGTTTCTATAAAAGGAAACCTGAAAAGATTTTGATAGTCTAGCCTTTGCTAAAGCACACTGATGAGGAAAAAGCCAGTATATATCCAAGAAGAATATTATCAGTTTAACTTATTTGCATCTTTTCTAACTTATTATTAAGCTGAGTTCATATTCTGGCAGTGACAGACTCAACCATTTCTTAGACCCCTAGTGGCATTTTAAAGTTTTGTCATCATATCTCCAGCCCCTAACATATTCCTAGAGACAGAACTGTTCGATTGAGACTTGTAGAACTCAGCTGTGCCCTAGAATCTCCAAGATGCCCCAGGCTGGAACCATCTTTGCCTCTCCTGTCTGACAAAGGCCACTCTGAGGTGCCGGCTCAGAGGCACAGGTTTTCTGACCATAACCAGGTCACACAATCTTTCTTAATTCATTGGCCCAACAAAGTGATGGGTGTACCAGTTCCTGGGAATATCAGCTCCTCAAATTATATGGCTTTGGAGCAGAAATATAATTAGGGAATTTCTGGAGCTTTCCATCACTGAGTATGTGCAATTAGCATTAGAACCCTATGGGGAAGAAACCATTAATATTGCACCCATAAGTATGTCTTAGGAAGGGTTTCTTTGTTTTCTAAAATCTTCCAGGAGTGTGTTGCTTATTCCATATTGGATATGTTCTGCTATAACAGGATTCTACAAACCATATCAATGGCAGCTCCTTAATTAGGGAAGCATGGACAACTAATAAAGCATCCTACTTGGGTTCCAGTTTTACTGATAGCATAGTTTCTTATATAAGACTAACCCTCCTATAGATAACAACTATAAAGTCTGAACAAAATACAAAAATAACAATTGAAAGCAATAGAGAGTGTCAGGCAGACACTACAGCAGTTTCAATCTTTGAAAGAAGGAAAATGTACTGTGTGAGTGTTGTTTTCACTTGGTATTCCCCCTTAGGGCACTCCCCAGTCTGTGCAGCTTGAGATAACTATAAGGAAAGCAGAAAGCCACAATCTCACTGAGGTGTCAGAGGACAGCTTGGGAGTTGTCAGAGTGGCTGGAAATTGAGGGGGAAATATCTATAAAAGAAGAAGTGAATCAGTAAACAAACTCCTTTTAAATCCTTGGCTGATCTTTGAGTTGCAGAAGAGATTCTAAAGAGCAAATCAAGAGAGCCACAGTTTGAAGGTTGAAAGATATGAGAAGAGCTTTCAGATGCTGCTCACTGAAGCAGTGCGTCAGATCTGTGTCCTTCTAAGATATAAAGGATTGATAAACAGTTTAAGTTTTCCTTAGACTTCTATCTCTCACCACCTATAAAAAATCAACTAAAAATGGATTAAAGATTTACATGTAGTATTAATACCTGCAACTATAAAACTACTAGAAGAAAACATAAGACAAATGCTTCAGGACACAGGTCTAGGCAAATATTTTATGAGTGAGACCACAAAAGCACAGGCAACAAAAACAAAAATAGATAAATGAGACTATATCAAACTAAAAAGCTTCTGCACAGCAAAGAAAAAAATCAACAGAATGAAGAGACAACTTGCAGAATGGAAGAAAATATTTGCAAACTATTCATCTGACAAGAGATTCATACCCAGAATGTACAGGGAACTCAAATAACAGCAAAACACTGCAAGTAATCCAATTAAAAATGGGCAAAGGATTTGAACAGATATTGCTGAAAAGAAGTCATACAAATGACCAACACATATATTAAAAATGCTCAACATCACTAATCATCAGGGAAACGCAGGTCAAAACCACAATGAGCTATCATCTCACTCCAGTTAGAACAGCTTTTATTAAAAAGGAACAAATTACAAATGCTGGTGAGGATGCAGAGAAACAGGAACCCTTGTGCACTGTTGGTGGGACTGTAAATTAGTAGAGCCATTATAAAAAACAGTATGAAAGTTTCTCAAAAAACTAAAATAGATCTAACATATGATCCAGCAATCTCACTACTGGGTTTTTACTGAAAGGAAAAAAAAAATCAGTATATTGAAGATATATCTGAACCCCCATGCAGTATTTTTCACAATCACCAAGATATGTAATCAACCTAAATGTCTATCAACAGATGAATGAACAAAGAAAATGTGGCATATATCCACAATGGAATACCATCCAGACATAAGAAGAATGAAATCTTGTCATTTTCAACAACATGGATGAGACTTGGAGGACATTATGTGAAATAAGCCAGGTGCAGAAAGATACATACTACATGTTCTCTCTTATATGTTGGAGCTAAAAAATTCATCTTATAGAAGAAGAATTATGGTGATCAGAAGCTAGGAGGAGTATAGGGGAGAGGAGGATAGGAAGATGTTGGTTAAAGTATACAAAATTACACAGCTAGATAGGAGGAATAAGTTCTAGTGTTCTATAACACTGTAGGATAAATATAATTAATAATAATTTATTGTATATGTTCAGAAATCTAGAAGAAAGGATTTTGAATGTTCCCACCACAAAGTAATAAATGCTTGAGGTAAAAAATACCCTAATTACCCTGATCATTGCATACTGTACATATGTATCAACACTCTGTACCCCCATAAATATGTGCAACCACTATGTGTCAACCAAACATAAAAGGAAAAACCAAATAATCCAAGCTTTCCATTGAAGGCCTAAAAGGGCCATGATTAGGTGTAAAACAATACCTACAGATTAAGAGATTCATGCTAAAACTAAAGGTAAATTTGAAACAGACCCCCCCTAACTGGTGTAAAGCCAACCTCTAATAAGTGCTAGGTTATTGGCTAATAATTTACAACCTGCTAGAACAAAAACAGTCTTCACAAGAAGCCAATGGAACCTATGATCTATAAAACATATCATCCATCATATCCAATATATTATAAAAATTAATAGACGTGAAGAAAAACAGGAAAATGTGGCTCCTAATGAAGAGAAAAAGCAGTGAATGGAAAATGACTCGAAGATGATCCAGATGTTGTAATTAGCAAAGACTGGAAAGTATCTATCATAAATATGCTCAAAAATGTTAAAAGATACAGTCATAATGAATGAATAAATGGTAAAACTTGGCAGAGAAATTAAACTACTAAAAATTAAGTGGAAATTCTGGAACTGAAAAATGCAATATCTGAAATGAAAAGATTCACTGGATGAACCTAATAGCAGATTAGAGATGGCAGAAGAAAAAGCCAGTAAATTTGAAGACAAAGCAATAGAAATTATCCAATCCATAAAACAAAGACAAAAATATTGAAATAAAAATAGAACTTTAGTGACCTTTAGGATAATTAAACCATCTAAGCGAATGTTTAATTGGAGTCTCAGAAAACTATGAGAGAAAAAAATGTGGCAGACAAAATATGTGAAAAAACGATGGCTCAACTTTTCTCAAGTTTGGTGAAATGACATCAACTTAGATATCCAAAAAGCCCAGCAAACACCAAAGAAAATAAAGACCAAAAAAAAAAAAAATTAGACCTAAGTGCATCATAGTCAAACTACTAAAAACAAAGATAGAGAATCATGAAAGGAAAAAGTAGGGGAAAAAAGAAATACTGCATACAAGGGAATAAAAAAACAAATGATCACTGTATCAGAAACAATGGAAACTAGAAAATAATAGAATATCACCTTTAAAGTTCTGGAAACAAATCTGTCAATCCTGAATTCTATGTCCAGTGAAAATATTCTTCAAATATAAAGACACTTTCAGATAAATAAGAGTTGAAAGAACTTGTTACTAGCACACCTGCAATAAGGAAAATGCTAAGGAGTGTTATTCAAGCTGAAGGGAATGTAACCAGATGGAGACTCCAATATGTAAGAAGAAATGAAGAGTACCAGAAATGGTAAATACGGTAGTCTTTCCTTATCTGCAGTTTATCTTTCCACAGTTTCAGTTACCTGTGGTCAACCATGGCCCAAACAAGTGAGTAAAATGTATGATAAAACATTTTGACAGAGAGAGATAGAGAGAGAGACAGAGATCACATTCACATAATTTTTATTACAGTATATTATTATAATTATATTTTATTATTAGTTATTGTTGTCAATCTCTTACTGTGCCAACTTATAAATTAAATTTTATTGTAGGTATGTATAGAAAAAACATAGTATATATAGTGTTTAATAAGGTTCAGTATATTGTGGTTTCAGGCATCCACTTGGAGTCTTGGAACGTATATCCCTTGTGGAAAAAGGAGCTATTACTATATGTGAATAAATATAAAATATACCATTTTTCTTTTCTTAATTTCTTCAAAAGACATAAAACTTATTAAAGCAAAAATAATAACATGGAACTGTAGGATTTATAGTGAACAGAGTTGTAAAATATATTACTGTTTTAGCACAAAAGCTATGGGGATAAAATCATAATGTTGCAAAGTTCTTATATTTTATATGAGTAGTATAATACTATACCTAATTATAATATAATAAGTTAATGATATATATTATAATCCGTAGGACAACAAATACAATAATAATATGAAAAGTTATAGTTTAAAATCCAATAGAACAATTTAGATAAAATAAAAATGTTATTAAAGAAAAAGAAGGCAGGAATGGATAAACAGGTGTATAAAATATAGATAGGACAAATAGAAAACAAATGACAAAATGGTAGTCCTAAATCCATCAGTGTCACAAATTACATTAAATGTAAATAAACAAAACACTTTAATAAAAGACAGATTTTCACACTAGGTGAAAAATAAGAACAATACATTTTCTATTAAAAATGCACTTTAAATATAAAACCGTTGACAGATTGGAAGTAGATGAACAAAACAATATACTATGTGGCTAAATAAATATTAGACAAAATTAATTTCAAGTCAAGAAGCCTTGCTAGAGATAAGGAGGGACATTACATAACAACAAAATGGTCAATTCAACAGAAGATATAAATGAGTACAAGCTGTGTAATTCAATTCATATGAAATTTTATAACAGGCAAAATGAATTTATTACAAAGAAATAAAATTAAGGTTGTCTACTGAAAGTAGGTGTTACCTGAAAGGGGATCCAAAGGTACTCTCTGGAGTGTTGGATATATTCTGTATTTTGATTTATCAAACTCATCAAACTATATACTTAACTGTGAATTTCACTATAATAAATATTAACTTGATAAAAATGAAAATAAAAGTGACTCACTGAAACTCAGTCTGACTACTAGGAATAATAAGCACCTACTATCAAAACTCATTATAAAAAGTAATTATTTTTATATAGTGACACAGTAAAATAAGTTTCCTTAAGACCCTGCTATTTTTGGCTATATTTATTGTTAAAGAAGTCCTTGCCACTCTTCATGCTAACCTTTGAAAATCAAGATTAGAAGACAGTCAACTTTTAATTTTCAGCTACACTTATATTTTTTAATCCTATTACTATTGATATTTCAATATGTTTTAATAGAGTCCATTTCCTTTATTTTCAAGATTTTTGTAGTTAAATAAAGTGAATATGTAATTATACATAATATTTTTTGTTTGTTTTCATTATTATCATGACCAGTACTTTTTTTTATTATACTTTAAGTTTTAGGGTACATGTGCACAACGTGCATAATATTTTTATCTTAATTTTTATTATAAGCATTGTGATTACTTCAACAGCTGAATAATAATATATGATCTTCTAATATGTAATTAGAATATATTATATAAGTATAACACATCATATAATTGCATTGTATACAAAGTTACTATAACTTATTTAACTGTTCTATTGTTGGATATTTTCGTTTCTTCCTTAATTCTGTATGACAATGTTGAGATGGATATTGGCATGTATATAGCTTGTTTTATACTTTGATTATTTCTTTAGGTTAGATTCTCAGACCTGGGATTAAAGAGAACAATATATTTGTGTGTGTATATGGGGGTGCGGATAGTATGTGTTGCATTGTGTATTTTTTAATGATATTAACAGTGCACAAAAATAATAATTCCAGTATATCTCTGTCAGCATTAGAAATTATTAGGAGAAACTTTTTTACTATAGTATGTGAAAATAATTATTTATAATTTTAGTTTACAATTAAGGTTCAATTATTTAAAGGCTCAATGATTTCCTCTTTTATTTTAGTAGGTGTACTTTTTTAGTGAGTTGTTTATTTATCCTTTGCAGATTTATTTATGGGGGAAATAATTGCTTTCCAAAAAAGTTTTAGAGGCAAGGTCTTACTTTGTCACCCAAGGTGGAGTGCAGTGGCATGATCATGGCTGACTGCAGCCTTGAACGCCTAGGCTCAAGTGGGCCTTCTGAGCAGTTGGGATTATAGGTATGAGCCTCTGCACCCAGCAGTAAGTGCTTTTCTTATTAATGTTTATGTTTTTAATCTAACAAAGAAACCAAATCTGCTGAAGCTGTTTTTCTAGTATGTAGTTGTGACTTTTTTTTTTTTTTTGCTAATTTTATGTATCTATAGAAGCACTAATCTTTTCTTTCAGGTATATTTTATCACTGATAAATTTTAAAAAGTATCTCCCTTCTAGAGTTTTGATAAATATTTAATTATATTTTCTTTATTTTAATTTATTTTAATATTTAACACTTTTTCCATGTGGAATTTGTTTTGATATGTAACATAATTTTTATAACTGTGTGTTATTTCCCTCAAATTGTTATTTAGTCATTCCATTATTTGTGAAATAATGTTTTCTTCCTCCATTGATCTGCAAAGTCCTGATCATATATTAAAAGCTTTATTATAATATTGCTTATTTATAGGTATTTTTTCCTTAGATCGAGTTATCTATTCTAATGTTAGAACAGAGGTCCACTGGCACAACTTCAAGTTTGTAGTTTTTGATAGATAAAGGCAACATTTACAAATGTCTGGTACCTACCCACCAACTACTTTCTCTCTCTCTCTCTCTCTCTCTCTCTCTCTCTCTCTCTCTCTCTCTCTCGTTCCCACTCTTGCCATGTGAAATGCCTTCCCCGAAGCAGACCATGGTACTGTTTCCTATAGACCCTGCAGAACTGTAAGCCAATTAAACCCCTTTTCTTTGTAAATTACCCAAGCTCAAGTATTTCTTTATAGCAATGCAAGAATGGCCTTACACAGTGTGCTATCTAATATGACAGCCAGTAGCCACATGTGGCTATTGTGCAGTTGAAATGTGGCTAGTGTAACTAATAAATTAAAATTTTCATATTATTTAATTTTAATTAATTAAAATTTAAATAGCCACATGTGGCTACTGACTAGCATATTGAACAACAGAGTGCCAGATAATAAGCTGATAGAGAATAATTTCCAAGGGTGACTGTGTCTGGTTTTGCTTATCATTATACACCTGGTACCAGCACAATGCCCCACACGGTGTGTATTTATCAATTAGAAACAAATAACTCAGAGGGGAGTAGAATGGAGACATAATAAATAAAATAGTGCTTTCAAAGCACTAAATTGTGAAGAATGCTTACCTCTAATGCAATACTTGAAGCTTGTTTTGCATAAACTTTATTTTCAAAATAACACAAAATAAATGTAATAAAAATGAGTACTTGAGATAAATTTGACAAAACTGAGCATATTTTTATGACTCATATTTAATAACAAGAGATAAAGAAAATAGTATTTAATAGTAACTTCTATGAATCAGTACTTATCTGACAGAAAGAAATGACTTTAATATCAAAATACACTTTCTGGAATATATTCCTATCAAAAGCTGAGAGATTATAGTAGTTGTTTATAAGGTAGTGAATGACAAACTCATTCAAATACTTTTTTTTTTTTTTTCTGAGATGGAGTCTCGCTCTGTTGCCCAGGCTGGAGGGCAGTGGCACAATCTCAGCTCACTGCAAGCTCCACCTCCCGGGTTCACGCCATTCTCCTACCTCAGCCTCCTGAGTAGCTGGGACTACAGGCACCCACCACCATGCCTGGCTAATTTTTTGTATTTTTTAGTAGAGACGGGGTTTCACCGTGTTAGCCAGGATGGTCTCGATCTCCTGACCTTGTGATCCGCCCACCTCAGCCTCCCAAAATGCTGGGATTACAGGCGTGAGCCACCGTGCCCGGCCTCATTCAAATTCTTTACCCCAGAAAACAGTCTGAGTTGTTTTCCTGCCTATTACTGTATGCATTTTTCTTACTGGAAATATCCATCTGTGCTATATTTCATTTTTGTCCATCACTCAATATATATTTTTGTCACTATTGCTCAGAAGAATAATCTCACAGAAAGATTAAGGGTGTAAGAGGACTCAACTCTATTTGGTAATTAAATGACAGAAAGTATTTCCCTGTTAGTCATTAGTGCTAAGTTTCAAGATATGCACTATTAAGTATACACATATTAAATGTATATTAAAGGAACATCGCATATACATTATTAGTAACTTTTAGTAATAGTAACTTTTAAATTTGCTAATGCATTTCATAAAACAGCAGTAAATGTTCACTCAAAAAGCTTTGCTTGATTGACAAATTGCATTGATTGAAAGAACTAGAAATTTGAGCTTGAAATAGATAAAAATGGCATCTCAAAGCTTAAAGCATTTTATATTTCTTTGTCCTGTTACTTCAATCTACTCTGGTAAGAATTTGTAGTAAGTGAATCTGAATTAAATTGCTCTGTAGGAAAAAAATTACAAAATGGAAATGCTCACTTAAAAAAATCAGAGCAGTTACAGATATCTGGCTATGTTATGCTGAGAAAAATCTGACACGTCTGCTATTTAGTTGTTACTGTTAAGCCTTCAGGTTATTTATTTAGTTTTAGTGTTGATTACAAAATTATGACTATAAAGCATAATGGCCACAAAATTAAATTTTTGTAGAAATAATAATCAAATTAGAATGCTTCCAACATTGTCACTAATCTACAAACTCTATATGCTCTGCCTATATTCATTGTATTTGTGCTCTCATTGAAGCAAAAGGCACAGAGCTCTATTTTCCAATGAGAATAAGGAGAAAGAGCTTTGTAATGGTTTTTCTCCAACTGTATGAATAAAATATGGTAAAAAACAGATCTTAAATGTTTCAACTCAATGTAACTGACCACAACAAACCAAGAAATATGCCCATCTTTGCCATATTGATTTCCACTTTGGAAAATGTAATAAATCTACTTCACTTATGTATCTTACGGACCTTGTAAAAGAACCAGCTAAAAATCAATAAAACAATATTGTCTCCTATCATGAAAGAAGAAACATGAGGTTTGTTGTTTCAGCTTTTTTAAAAGATGTGTACGGTTAGATATCTAGGACAATTTAAGTAGCTTGTTTCTATGTTGGTGATATAAATAACGGATCATTCTGGTTTTAGTCCATGCACTATCCTTGAATATACATCAGATGGATGTCCATGACAGCCCTGGAACTAACAGCTGAGTGGCATTCCGCCCACCTATGTTTGAAAAATAAACAGGAAAAAAAAAAAAAACCTTCCTATTGTCCAGGTAGAGCACATTATTATCTATGAGCCCTGGGTGCAGCTGGCAAAGTGCTCACTATTTAAATTTAATGGAGTTTACCTTGCACTGGCAGAGAGTACACTCAGTGCCATGTTTGATCCAAGAGGACCCGGTGAAGCGAACCACATTCATTTCGTCCAGGCAAGTCTTGGTGATGTCATTGCGGATGGTGTCAGCCTGGCAAGGGTCTGTGACACAGCGCGGGCAGCACTCATTCTCTGGGAGAATGCTGAATTCACACTCCACATCTGGGCAAGGCAGGGGCCAACAATCAACTTCCCCTTGCTACAAGGAAAGCAGATGTGCAAGGGCAGAGGGAGAGGGAGGAGGAAATGGAGGGAGGCCAGGAAAAAGCAGATGAGCACAGTGTTTACTGAATACTCAATTATTTGATTGATATTTAAACTTAGATCTACAAAGCCCATGAATCTTTCAGGGAATCTATTAACACAAAAGCCCTATCAGAATGATGAATTCTGTATTGCAGCTTGATTTTCAAACAATCTTCAGGATTTAAATAACACCAATAAAACAAAAGCAAAAATCACTCATCTTAAAACAATAAAATGTGCATGCCCCTATCTTTCCCATGACAAAGGAGAGAGGTTTCAATTTAACGTTTTTGCCCATGTGATATCTTTTTCATTCTTTTGCTATTTTTTCTAACCTATTATTAATTCCTTTATGCATAAAGAATGTTTTGTCCATTTACAAGAAAATAAACTAAAATATGAAGGCAATATGATGGTTTTTCTTTGTTCATTTATATATTTTTCAGTGTAGAGACTTTGAAAAAAAAAGAAACAAATCCTAGGAATTGATTTCATTCCTTTTTAATTCCACACAGGAAAATTGTGTGAATTGGATCTTTTTAAAAATGTAGTTCCCACCTGTTTCCTATTTTCTTCATAATTCTGAATCTCATGGTTTGGGAGATGAAAGCAGCCTTCGGGCACAGAAACTGACCTTGCTCTTTCCATTGATTTTTGGGTTGAAAGTATAAAAAGGAAGGAACAAAAAAGCTTTGCCTTAAAAATAACCTCACACAAATAGAAAGAAACTGGCCATAACTTTAAAAGTAGCATCTTCTGTGAAAGTTTTCGCTATAAAGACACATAGACCAATTTTCCTTTTCATTTACACCACTAGAAACAAGAAATTCGTTCAACTGAAAAAAGACTTTATCAAGTCATTACTTTCTTCTTACTTATTGTTTCTAGTAAAAGTTTTATAAATATATAGAGAAATTCAATTCTAATATGTATTTATTGCATATCCATATTATGTGCAAAACAAGGTGCCCATCAGAAGCATTGAAAATAACAATCTTTAGAAGGTTGCTTTGGGAGGCCGAGGCGGGCGGATCACGAGGTCAGGAGATCGAGACCATCCCGGCTAAAACGGTGAAACCCCGTCTCTACTAAAAATACAAAAAATTAGCCGGGCGTAGTGGCGGGCGCCTGTAGTCCCAGCTACTTGGGAGGCTGAGGCAGGAGAATGGCGTGAACCCGGGAGGCGGAGCTTGCAGTGAGCCGAGATGGTGCCACTGCACTCCAGCCTGGGCGACAGAGCGAGACTCCGTCTCAAAAAAAAAAAAAGAAGGTTGCGGTGGTGGGGGAGGCGGAGTTGCTTTGTTTTTTAAGTCTAAACATAACTGACAGAAATGGGTTAACAAAAGTTCTACTTGGAAAAAAGAGTATTTTTTTTATGAATGCCATTGTTCTATCAATATTTGTCTTTAAGTTAGCCTAAACAGGATAGGAATGGGGAAGCTAGGAGAGTCTTTTCTTTTGAGCTATGGAGATACTCCTGAAAGAGACATACATTACTGTCAGTGAAAGACTATTCAACACCTTGTACCACATCTACCTCAGAATATTCCTTCTTGGGTTGTGATCGTGTAACTATCACCTCATCATCCTAACCAGGCTCACTGTTTATAACTGTCAACACTGTGGCCTGGTGCTAGGTATTGGCAGATGGGGAGGACGAGGTTGCTTCTCTATTTAGATTCTGGGCCTAAATTTTCTTTCCACTTCATGTAGCTAAATTTACCAAGCAGCGGCACTGTTGACAATTCTGGACCCAGGTGTCACCACTGTTATACAAAGTTTCCCCATTTTGATGGAGGCACTGACTACTAAGCCTTGGGTCACATTCAGGGCAGCAAAAAAGATCAACTGTGGGATTCTCACAGTCACAGACCATCCGTCGACACATAACGAATCCATTCTGTATGAAAAAGAAAAAAAGCAGTTACCAAAAACCTCCATTTCTCAGTAACACGCACACACACACACGCACACACATTTCAGATGGTGACTTGGAAGTTGAAATAATTCACACTGCTTATCTGATATAATAAATTTTCTTTAGCATTTCTTTTTTTAGCTAACACAAAGAAATTACCTAAGCTGGAGGATTTTCAATTTCCTTTCCACATACTACTCCTCAAATGACCAGAAAATATTTTTTTTCAGAAATGACCAGCATAAAATAACCACTGTGTATATAAATGTCTTCATTTATACGTAAGTATATATTTGTATATTAGTATGGTAAGTTGCATACTAACTAAATTTTGTTTTGTTTGAGGACATGTGTTTTAATATTTCATAGTTAATAACATATATATATTACTAAATTTCTGGAGTATTTAAAACCTATGTTTTTGTATAAACTGTTATCAATTTCTTTTATGACAGTTGGGTTCTTGGTACATAATATTATTCATCTGAAAATAATTTGAGCATTTATTATAACTAGGTACATATAACAGAATACCTATCTAAAACTGAAATATACACCAAATAAATATTTTTCACTCTTGGATCACAGCATGTTCATTCTGACTTTATTTATGCAGTCATTCAAACATGATACTGTGACTAGGAAAAAATTAGCATGGTTAGTAATAAAATTTTATCAACATGTGGATAGATAAATACATTGGTATATCCATACAATGAAATATTATTCGGTATTAAAAAGAAATGGATTAGAGATATAGGTACAATAGGATTGAATCTCAAAAACATAATGTTGAGAGAATGAAGTCAGACACAATATAGTATATACTATAAAACTCCATTTATATGAGGCTCTAGAAAATACAAATTTAATCAATAGGGACTGGATGCAGTTTTTGCCTGGATCTAAGGTTGTGGGACTAACTAGGAAAGAACATAGGCAACATTTGGGATAATGGAAGTGTTCTGTTATATTAATTGTGATGGTAGGTAAGTGGATGTACACATTGTCAAAACTCATCAAGCCATATACACACTTAAAACATATGCAAATTACAACTGAATAAAATTAATTAAAGTTTTTCATTTATACCAACCTGACATGAGCACACAGAGCACCTGTCATTTTCCAACACCCAAATCTGACCATTGTGCTTAACTTTTCCATCATGGATGCAGTCCCCTGTGCAATTCTTTCCATGAGGACATCGACAATCATATCCGCCATCCAAATTGAAGCAAATGGTATCATTGGCACAGCTGTGCCTCCCGGTCCCACACTCATCAATATCTATAGACAAGAAAAAGCAGCACTCAATGTGCTTAGAATATGTGCAGTTTCAAACAACTGCAATCAGGCCAGTTGTCTCCTGACATAAGGTATTCAACTGTAAATTAATTTTCATCTTACTGGCTTGCATTTGTGATTAAATGTTGACTAAAGCAATGTTAATGATCTGGGGATTTCACAGGAAAATATTATCATGTTTGATTTAAAAAATCAGGTAACCTTGGCTAGAATTTCAACTTTTATATCTCTGTAAATAACATTAGGCTTTATGAAACATTTTTATTTTTGAGAGTAAGAATATGACTCAATTTACCAAACAAAAACAGTTTAGCAGTGGAAATTCTAAAAGTGCCTATGATACTTTAATGGGGATATCATCCCCAGTGTTAAACTGGTGATTATAGAAAAATCCCTTCTTAGTGGGAGATGAAATGTCATGAGATCCCTGCAGCATTTTATGCAATATCAAGCCTTATTCTCGCGGCTGCACCTGCCCCCCTCCATGAAGCTCTTTCCATTGTTCTGCCTAGGTGATCTTCCCTTGCATTCCAGGCATTTTCATACAGTCCTTAGACCTTGACTCTCAACCACAGAAGGGCAAATAATAATCAGCAATTACCATCTCTCTTACAAAGAAACCACTATTTTTTAACTTTTCCATTTCAGATTATCATTTTGTCCCCTGTCTAACTCAACTGGCAACTGCCCATACTTCACCTGGCCTCACCTATTTCATGGCCATCACAGCCTAAAGCGTTTTCATACAGATGAAAAGCAAACATATCGTGACCCACAGATCAGGTCCATAAGAGGAGATGGGATTCATTTTTATTTACCCCCGTAATTTAAAGGTCACAAGCCAAAATACATTTCAGAGACATGGTATGAGTGGCAATAAGTAGTTATTTCCCATTTCATCAGTTGCCTCTGAGTAAAGGTCAAGAAAGAAAGAATTAAATCATGGCAGAAGTGGGTTAGAGACAAGATGGAGTGTATAGCTTTTAACTAGGGCGCTGTATACTGATTCTCCTTGAAGATTTTAAAAATAAAGTTTAGGAAATATCTTTTTCAAATGGTTGGACTTCAACATTAACTGAAGACTTGGACTAGTAAAAACTTGGCAATTTTAAATTTCTTATATACTTAAATTCTGCCATATATGTATTCCTGAAAGTAAGCCACAGGACATTTTTTTTCTATTTGCCTTGATTTTTATTAGTTCCCACTTCAACAAAACTAATGGATTGGATCAATAGCCGAAAAAGTGATTACAGAGCTTTATTAAGCTTGATTTGTTAAGGATAATATTACTTATTATCGTAGACTATGATCAGAAAGAAAACTGCTAGCCAGGATGAGAATATATATTTTTTAAATTAAGTACTATGGTTAATGTGTATTTTTTCAGATTAGAGAAAATTTTTCTCTTTGTAATAAAAATTAAATTTTATTAGCTAGTTTTATATTTGGTCTATTTGGAATGATATGGTACATCTGATGAGTTGATATTTGTCTCCCATTACATATTTCTAGAATTAAGAATTATAATAAGCCAGAAAAACATAAACAAACCATAGTTATTTGGTCTCTTTGACAACAAGCTCTACAGACATCCTTACTACATAGCCTTTTTATGGTCTACTATAAGGACATTATTCCATGAATGGCAATGGCCGAATTTTTGCAATCATTTTATTTTGCTTGACACTTTAAAATAAAAGCTGTGTTATCAGATAATACTTTTTTCCCCCTTATAGGCAGAAAGATTCCACAGGATTGCTGCAAGGGACAAAGAAGAGATATCCAGGCACAAGACGAATATGTATACTTAAATAAAGCACATCTATAATAAAGAAATAGAGTAAAAAGTTGCTCATAACGATGGTTGGCATGTACTTGTTATACCTGGAAAAATGTGTGGGCAGATGCATCATAATGGACTAACTACAACCTCTTGCTATCCAAGGAGTTTGAGTTAGTTTGAACTCAGCTTGCCTTTTCTGCTTATTATCTACACTGGCTCTGACAATGCAGAAACTTTTCCCAACTAACTGGTGGTATAGAATTTTGGAACCCATTTTTACACATAGTTTGGTTATAACAAGATTCCCAAATTAAATATCTATACAAGGTGTGTATTCTGCTTTGAAAAACCTATCATGGCATACACAAATTCCAACTTTAAAAATATTGATAACTCCTTTAGTGAGCGATTATTGAAGAACTAATGTTGCTAAATCCATTTGTCAGTGTCAGCTGTCATGTAACTTGGTCTAGCAGAGCATTTGACACAACTTACTCCCTCTCCTTGATACATTTTCCCTACTTGCTTCCTATCACACTGGTAGCTCTTCCTGGTTCTTTTTTTGTCTATACATTCTCTAGGTTTGGCAATTATACTATGATTAATATTTTGCCATGCAAAGAGTAGGTAAAGAGTGGTCTAGAGTGTTTTTGAGGCAAGAGCGTGCTTGAAGGCCCAACGTCTAGAGCTATCAAGATGTGCTGGAGAAACAGAAGTGCTGGTATGACTGGAATGTTCAGTGAGAGAGCAGAGTAAACAGCATGTAGCTGAAGAGCTACTCAGGGCCCAGGTAAAGGTCATGTTAAGAAATTTGAACTTTTTCATAAAGCCAATAAAATGTCATTTTAGAGAAATGCAAAAAAAAAATCACAATCTGATTTTCATTTTAGACAGGTCCCTTTGGGTTCATTTTGGAAAAGAGATTTGAATGGATTAGAATTTGGAGCCAGGAGACCAGTTAATAACTGTTTCCTTGGTTCAGGCAAAAGATGATCATACAATAAAAGCAGAGTCTCATAGTGGTTGGAATGTACCAGACTCTGAGTACTTTCCTTATAATGATTTATTTAATCTTCACAACAACCCTCGAAGATATAATTAAATTTTGATTCTCACTTTATAAATCAGGAAATTGAGACATAATACTGTTACATAACTTGCCCAAAATGACACAGCCACACAGCCAGTAGGCCCAGATGGGAACTGAAGCAATCATGCTCTAAGCCTGTGTTCTTAAGTACCATGCTACACTGAGTTGGGGACTCAGTGGGGACATTGCTATACACTGCAGCAATGGGGACGCATAGAAAGAGACAACAGAGAGAATTAACACAACATAGTGATTTGTTGGCTTTGAAGATTAGAAAGAGAGATCAAGAACGATGTATAGATTTCTGGCGTGGAAAATATGGTTGACGTTATTTATGGAAAGAAGAGCAAGATTTTGCTGCGGAGCAGAAGAATGGGGAGGGATGAAGGCAGAAGTGTTCAGTCTAGGACTGGCTGAATTGCACTTCCTCTGGGCTTCCACCAGGGCTGTTCAGTAAGTAGTTGGATATGTGTGTGGGGGGCTCAGAAAATAGGATTGGGCCAAAATGTGGGTTTGATGCAGATTACTTTCATCACCTCCTTTCTCAAAAAGAGCCCTTCATACGCATGTTCAAACTTCGTAGTACGGTATTTAGAGCTACCTCTTGTTTGCAATCATTTTCCCTATCTCGACTTGGCAATAATCTCATCATACTTAGCAAAGTCCTAAAGCAAATACTAGGTACTCTGAGAAGCCTTCCTTGATGTTAAAGAGCAAATAATTTCTCTTTGTTCCTTCACAGCATGACATTTATATTTTTTCTCAAAATCAAATGCTTTTCTCAATCACAGCGTTGGGCTTGAACAGAATATTTAAAATACTATCATGTAAACTTCATTTTTTTGGTATCAAAAGTTCAAAAAACTTCACCAAACTTAAAGATTGTCCAGAAACTAAAGCAATAATGGGACATGTGGGCATAAATATATTTATGTGGAAAAAGATACTGGACTGTGTCTCAGACAGAGACAAAATTTTAGGCACAGTGGAAATGGGGGATGGATAAGGAAAATAGGACTCTGGCCTGTTACTTCAGGATGAAATGTCTAAATCTCTGAGATAAATGGATGAGCAAAACAGCAAACAATTTGTATGAATGCAGCTTATAAACATGTATGTTGTAGATCACACAACTGTAACCTAAAAAGTAATGACACAGTGAAGTTATTTATTCATGCCTCCAAGTATGAGTCTTACACTTCAGAGTAATTGTAAAGCTACCATTGTGGCTTTGTCTACTTTCTTTCCCCCAGCAACAGAAAAATAGCACCTTCTCTGAGATAATCATACTCTTAAAATGAATCCTTCTAAATACTAATATTACAATTCTACACATCACGGAAATCGCAGTAAATGGAGAGTTGTTTAGAAGTATTATTTTTATCTTTTTTAAAAAATATAACTTAGATGTGTTCTTTTAAAAAACTCCTTCATGCCGGGCACGCTGGCTCATGCCTGTAATCCCAGCACTTTGGGAGGCCGAGGCGGACGGATCACGAGGTCAGGAGACTGAGACCATCTCTGGCTAACACGGTGAAACCCCGTCTCTACTAAAAATACAAAAAATTAGCCCGGCGTGGTGGCGGGCGCCTGTAGTCCCAGCTACTCGGGAGGCTGAGGCAGGAGAATGGCGTGAACCGGGGAGGTGGAGCTTGCTTGCAGTGAGCCGAGATCGCCTCACTGCACTCCAGCCTGGGCGACAGAGCGAGACTCCGTCTCAAAAAAAAAAAAAAAAAAAAAAAAAAAAAAGAATCCTTCAGAGCATGTTGTACTCTGACAGAGTAGTAGGTTTTTCTGATAATCTTTATAAATTTTATTGGTAGAATCATCTTTCCAGAAGAGTTTTTTTTTGTTGTTTTTTGTTTTTTTAAATAAGGTTTTTCACTGCTCCTATGTTTGCGGGTTTCCTTGAAAGGCCTTTCCTATGAAGATGAATCCTCTACTTTGCTGTCTTCCTATTTGTAATGTGTTATTTTGATGTTTAGTTTAATTATCCTTGTTACTTTCTGGGCTGAACACTCGTGAATGCATTAATTATGTTTTATCCTGATCATTATTATGTATCTACTTTTAACTACATATACATATCCAGTATATGTCATACTAATATCTACATTCCAACATAGGTTATGTGCCTGATGCATTTCTAATGAAGAGATTAGCTATCTATTATTTACCTCAATCTTTTCATTGGACAAATAAATGTATCATCTACTATGTGCCAGACACTGCTCTAGGCATTGGAGATATGATAGCTGACAAGCAAACACAAACTATGACCTTTGAAACTTACATTCTAAAGCAGATAATAAGCAAGCAAACACATAAATACATACTATAATTTCAGGTGACTTTATAATTTCTATCAAAAAAAGTGAAGCAGGGTAAGTGAATAGAGTGTCAGAGGTGGGAGACTATTTTAAATTAGCAGTCCAGGAGAAACCATTTGAGAAGAAATTTGAATTAAATGAAAGAAGAACCATGCAAAGATCTAGGGGAAGGGCATTCCACATAAAGTGACAGTACATGCAAAGAAATCTGTTTCATATATTTTAGAAATGGTAAGAAGGCAAAGGATGCATATCATGTGAGCCCTTGTCAACCATGGTCAGGGTTTGCATATTGCTTTGAGAGAGGTGGAGAGGCTCCACGAGTGTGAACAGAGGAGTAACATGATCTAACTTCAGTTCTAGAAGAATCACTCTGAATGTTATTAAAAAAAGACTCTAGGGGAATTGGGTGTGGAAGTAGGAAGACCAGTTTGGAAGCTGCTATAGTGGTTCAGGCAAAAGGTAGTAATGGCTTAGATTAAGATGTTAACAGAGGTGGTGAGGGGTGGTCAGACTGGGAATATATTTTGAAAGTTGAAACTGTGAGATTTGTTAATGTATGGAATGTGAGATATGAGGAAAAGAAGGAAGGAAACAATGACTCTAAGATGTAGTTCTGGGCAACTATGTTAAGGGACCTGTAGGACTTAGAAAGTAAATGAAAAGTTCTGTTTTAGTCGTATTAAGTCTGAGTTGTCTATTAGAAGTCCAAGTTGAGCTACCTAGTAGGCCACTAGATGTAGAATCTGCAGCCAGGGCAGAGGTCTGAATTAGGGATACATAGACGGCATTTTAAGCCATGAAACTGGTTGACTTAGGGATTGAGAATGGATAGAAAAGACTGACAAGGCCTGAGTCCTGGGGCATTTGCGAGAGTGAAAGAAAAGGCCTGTAGGAGAAAGGAGAAAAACCAGGAGAGAGTGGGGTACCTGAAGCCAAGTGAGGAAAATTATGTTTCGAGAGAAAGGAATGATCAACTGAGTCAAATCCCTGAGTGGCTGATCAAGGAGATAGTAACTGATCAGTTAATTTGGCGAAGTGGAAATTGTTAGTAATCTTGAAAGAAAAGCATTGGCTGGAGCAGTGAGACTAAAGTGTCACTGGAAGGAAGAAGGCAGAGATAACAAGTATTGAAAATATTTTCAAGGAATTTTGTTCTAAAGGGGACAGAAAATTGGGAGATATGTCTGTAGAATCAGATGATGTCAAGGGAAGTTACTTTTTGTTTGCTTTTGTTTTGTTTTCAAAGATGGCCGCCACTCCTGACTCTTTGAACACTGATAGGAATGATGCAGTTGAAAAAGACTTAACTATATGGAAGAGAAAATTAATATTATATGGGCAGAATCCTTAAATAGGTGAGAGAGGATGAGATGCAAGATACAATGATGAGTTTGATTTTTGATAGGAGCAGGGCCACTTCCTCCAATAAAAGAGGAGAGAGAAAAAGCAGCAGGTATATAGAAATAAATGAGCAGATATATAGAAATAAATAAATAGGCGAGTACGGGTCGTGGTGGAAAGTGAGGCAGATCTCTTTTGACTACTTCTGTGTCTCAGTTAAGTAGGCAGGCCACTGACAGAGAATAAAAAGAAAGGAAGCAGTATTGACAGAGAATAAAGAGAAAGGAAGCAGTATCCAAAGTCTGAGGAGACTTAAGAAGTTGTGAAATGGCTGTTAATTGGAAAGTTGGAAGGGAACGTAACTAAAGAAATGAAGTAGGAATGCTGGACAGTGCTGATGGCCCTTGCAGTAGGTAGCTTCTGAGATGGCCCCAGTGATCCTCACCACTTAGTATTCAAGCCCTTGTGCAATCCCCTTCCCTTGAATGTGGGATGTACTTATTGACTTGATGCTAACAAATATAAAGTGTGAGAAGTGATGGAATGTCACATCTGACATGAGGTTATAAAAAGACTATGGCTCCGATATTCGGCATCTGCTCTTGGATTGCTTGCTTTAGGGGAAGCAAGCTCCCACGCCTTGAGGAGTGGCCCATGTATTAAGGAAATGAGATCTGCCAATAGCCACATGAATGATCTTGGAAACAGATTCCCACTCCCCCCATTACCACTACCACCATAGGCAAGCCTTCAATATAAGAAGAGCACAGTCCTGGCCAAGAACTTGACTGCAGTGTCATGAAGACCCTGAACCGGAGCCACCCAGCTAAGCTGTGCACAAATCCCTGACCCATAGCAAGTGTGAGACAATGTTTGCTGTTTTTAGCTGCTAAGTTTTGAGAGTAATTTGTTAGGCATCAATAGATAACTAATACAACCCACTAGAGATTTGTGATCATAAATTTGAAAGACAGTGAGTTTAGTTACAAACTTAATGTAACACAGTCAACAGAGGTATGTGTATTTTTCTACTCACATCCAGATGCACAGAAAAAAGTGTGCAAGGATACTAACCCAAATTAAACATAGGTAACCCCTAGAGGATGAGTGGAAAAGATGGGGAAAGGGGGGAAGAGAAATGAAGATGCATACTCAGCTTTAATCCATATACATGCTTCTGTATGATTTGCATTATTTATAATCAGCTTATATTCATTCTTTATGTGCATAAATTTTTTAAAAGATGATCTCCATTAAATTCTATAAAATACAAACAAAGTAGCTTATCAGGGAAGAACAAAGTTCCAATGTCTGATCTGTCTTGAAACTATAATCTGTGGTTCCTGGCATTCTCTCCAGGGCTGGAAATGTTCACTCTGGAACATTCACCAGTGCAAGATAAAGCCCTTAGACCATATTTAAGTGGTAACATGCAAATGCCAGGTTTTAGCCCCCAGTAAGGCAACAGCATTCCCATTCCTAGGTGGAAATCCTGATGAAAACTCTGCTCAAGCTCCAGAGCTTGTCTGCTGCCGGCAAAACAGGCTAGAAGCCTTGGCATCCATCACCCAAGTCTGTTTCACTTGTCTCTTTGTGAAAATCCTTTGAGGCACAAGGATAAAAAACATCTTATCATTTAGGTGTCAAGTATCTTTAGGTTAGATTGTCAAAAGCTTTCATTGACTGTGTCATCTTAACCCCATTATCCTCTCAGGCTCTATGAAGTTGTAAATGCAAATGGAGAAAACAATGAGTTCTCAAGTTGTGTTTTGTTTTTCATTCCTATGCCAAGACTTCTGATGGCAAATTCTTTCAGTGCGGGTAGTTTCCCTGACAATTATTCATGGGGCTCTGCTTGCTCTGTCTGCCTGGTTTCTAAAAATCATGCCCCTTAAATAGAGGCTACAGAGGAGCAGATTTGTCAGTCTGTTGAAAATAATTCAAAATTAATGGTAACTAATTGAATATAATCTGATTGAATTTTCTACTCCTCTTAGATTGAAAACTTAATGGAATCAGGGACCATATCTTATGTATCCAACATTCAACAATCACTAAACATCTCTTACTTTGCCAGGCAAGTGTTATGTTAGGAATAGCCCTGAGTAGCATGCATTGTGTATGTCATCCTTGGCCACATCATCATTGCATTTCCTCTATCCCCATTTTCCCTCTATCTTGCTTTTCTCATGTATTTTTGCTACCTGTTTTTGGATCAGATGCTTGCATGCTTTCGTTTTAAAAAATTTATGTGATACTACATGTTTTTTCATTCTAAAAACACCATTTAACAGTTGCAAGAATCCACAGAAAACTGGGTTAGTGTCACAAACTTTAATTATCTAAAAATAACATTAGATACCATAATTAGCAAGAAAAAGTTAGATTTTAACACATTTCCAATCACTGTTGTATACACATATAGTAAAAACACTAACATTGGCTCAATGTCTTCTATTTATAGCTTATGATATATTCCTCAAGTTCAAGAGAAGTTCTTAAATTCTAGGTCTTCTCCTTGTACTGACCTTCACACGATTCTCCACTTGGTGAAAACATCCCATTGTCATGGTAGCCATCTCTGCACTCACAGTGGTACCATCCAGGCAGGTTAATGCAATTAGCACGACTGTCACATTGAACAAAACCATCAGAGCATTCATCAATGTCTGGCAAAAAAAGAGGGATTTTATAAAATTATTTATCTTCTTTGAAAGAAACTAGAATATTCTGCTACAAGGCTACTAAAATTTTTAATGCCAGCAAATCCTTGAAACTGGGAAAATATAAAATTAAGAAAGTCTACTTGTTTGTTAACAGCTACACAGAAAGAATGTAGTGTTATTAGTAACAGGAGAAACATCTAGAAGGCTTCTTTGATGCAAAAGGTATTCCACTGTAGAAAATGGAAAGAATCCATATGTGATGGTCATTAGTGCTGCTCACCAATATTTTAGCTCTTCTAGACACAAGCTAGGATTATGATTCTCCAGGCCCTTCAAGTTAGGTATGGCCACGTGATAGGTGAAGTGTCACTTAAGCCAGTTAAGGAGTGATAAGTGTCACCTCTATGCAGATCCTTTAAGATGCAGTGTGTGATTCACATATGCCCTTTCCCTATCACAATGACTAGCCATTTCCAGAGGCTCTAAAGACCTACCTGAGTTCCTGTAGGAGACAACCTGGGACACATTCCTTACTTACCTGGGATGGACTTATGGCATGAGAAAGAAATCAACCTTAGTTGACACTCTAATATAGATGACAATAGCATTCATGCATCAACATGCTTCACATGTTCAAGTATACATATTATTTATGTCACTTTCTACTGTGTTTCATACATACTACTTCGTTCAACCCTCAAAAAAATCCTGCCATGTAGATAGTACATTGAACATGTGAAAAAAAAAATGGAGGCAGAAGGAAATTATGGGATTTAACCAAAGTCACCTAAAAGTTCACAGTGCCTGACATTCAGGTGTGTGCTCCTTTATAGAAGTAAATCACGCTGGATCTACTATACAAAGACAGCTATGGATCTTAAGTCTCAGATATTTCCTCCAGAGGCTTATTACTATTCCTAAATATTGAAAGCCCTTGATTCTTCTTGTTTCGTCTACTGAATCGTGAGAACATCCAACACCATCCGAGTACCTTCCTTTGCTCACAGGAGGAAAAGCAATCCCTGAAGTTGCTTTACAAAGTGTCTCCTTCTCATTAGCTCCTGGTTTTCAGGATCTTTTGGCTTAACTTAGACTCTGCTATATGATCCAATGGTGCTGAACCATTGTAGCTGCCAAAAATATCCACATGTCTCCCACTCCCATCTTGATAGCCGTATGCCATAGCCGAAGGTTCCAACCTGCCAAGGCAGGATGGTTCTTTCTGATATGCCTCTGACACCTGAATCATATTCCCTGCTTCTGTGACCAGGCACAATGACA
The DNA here is from genome assembly GCF_000001405.40 of Homo sapiens. NCBI lineage: Eukaryota > Metazoa > Chordata > Mammalia > Primates > Hominidae > Homo > Homo sapiens. Next base: position 44,534,000 of record NC_000012.12, read on the forward strand.
TCCTTCAAGTTGAAGGTAAGGCAAGATGCTTTTTAGAGACCTTTCCCCTTCAGACAGACTACTTCAGTTGACAGAATCTACTTCCTCCTATTTCAGTCTCATCCCCCTCCAAATTCCTGGAAGCATATATTCCTTTCATTTTCTTATAAAATGTCCTCTTTTCAGAAGTTCAATGTTGAAAGAGATAAATTAATGAATAAATGTATACATAAGTAAAAAAAAATCAGAGAAATGAGCTATCACTCATTTATTTCTTGATAGGTCAAGTGTCCCTTCAGCAAAATAGTATGCAAAGCATCCTCTTAGATTATTAGGTAATAGGCAAAAAATATTTTATATTGCTGTAATATTTCAGCATTATTTCTGAACTATGAATGATTCTGCCTCTGTGGTGCCTCTTCTTTAGAATCAGTTACTATCGGCAGTCATTCTGTCAAAATAATTGTGACTGACCAAATCGGCTAACCACTGACTTCTGACACATAACTGATGTGGATTGTATCCATTTACTGAGGCCTCATAAGTTTTGTGAAATAGTCTATTTGTACTTCAGGGGCTTCCCTAACTGATGAACCTCTGATTATAAATAGATTCAGAATGCTTTGCTCATTTCAGCTTTATATGGTCTTTTCTTCTAACCGCAATGATGTAGAGAATTGATTATGTCATTTCTTAAGTGCATGGACAAAAGAAAACAGGTTGGAATTTAAGCTTTAGAAGTGAGTTTTATTGGAAGAAAGCCATATGGGGGATGGTTAGAGTCATTCGTTTTAGAAGAATTTGGTCACTAGGGCTGGTAATTTGGAAGTAACTCTTGATGGAACTGAACTTTCTCCACTGAAGCAACTTTCCCATTATATTTAGCCTTCAAATTAGTCCTTTCTTCCTACCTTGACATAGTAATAAGGTTATCTCAGTTTCTATGGTATAGATATATATTTCAATTGTTACTTCTCACTTCATTTCTCTCTTGTCACTCCTTTACCGGGCCCACTCCTATACTGCCTCATACTCATTTCTTCTTAATTACATTATGGTAAACTTCCTTGATTTATAAATATACTCCATAAAGTTTAATAGAAATGCTATGTGTTATATTAATTAGTGTTTTGAAGACTGGGAATACAAGCATGTGCCTGCCCATAATGTATTTTCATATAAACTTTGGGCATTATCTTATTTAATTATTACTTTGTAATAGGATTATAGAAGATGAATAGGTAAATATGGCTGTTCCTACACTTTTGATGGGGTTACCTTCCAATAAACCTATTGTAAGTCAAAAAATCATAAGTTGAAATTGTATTTAATACTCTGAGCAACCTATCATAAATTAAAAAAACTCTTAAGTTAAACTATTTTAGGTCAGGGACCATCTGTGTAAGTTTCATGCATTAATTTACATATTCAGTATTTATTGAATGCATTTTATGCACCAAGAACTAAGTGCTGGGGAAACAAGGATAAACAACACAGATGCAATTTCTGCCCTCAGTTAGTTTATCATCTATTTAAATTGTGCTTTATTTTAATAAAATTAAATTTATGAAAATCTGAATTTACAATCATATAGAACAGTATTTCCAAACATGCAATTTATCTGCCACCAGTGATATGGTATGTAGGTGATAATGGGCAGATATTTTATTTTAATGGCTACATATTTATTTTTCTGAATTAGTTCAATTTGTAGCAACTGAGACTTATAGTAGAGTAATAAAACTTTAAAATTTTAAAATGAGAAAAATTACAGAAACAATATTAAGTAAATATGGGTATAAATGGTCTATGAATATGACAAAAACAGTGAAGTTTTGAAAACAGCAATATACAATATAGGGTAATTATTCATCTTTCAAAGGGAGTTGCTGAGTAATTCCTTGTGAAATGCAATGCCTTAATTTATCTAAAATACGTCTGAATTTATAAAAGATACCTATGTCACAGATCAAGATTATATACTTGCTATCATTTAGAATAAGGAAAAAACTAGTCAGATAATATATATAACTTCATATTACACTTTAATGTTCCTACTAATTTTGATTTGTTTATGCAAATTTTTCTACTTTGGTTAGTCAGTAGACAATGAAAATGTGCTTGAATTGACAGAGTATAAACTTCCCACTAGAAGGCATGTTTTTTTCGCTCATGACTCTAATTAAAGCCAAAGATCTAATAAAACAGTCTCATCTGTAAGTGATTTGATGGTATGCATATCCTTATTCACTCAGTAAATACTTAGTAAATAAAGAATTGAAAGCTGATCCACAATTTATGAATTAAGTATATTTTGTCTATATACAAATGAGGACATTAACATGAATTACAACATAAATGCACACATATTTTGAAGTATGCTCATATTGTGTTTCACATATTTTGTAATAACACAAAGCAGTAAAAAAGAGTTCAAATAATTTATTTCTTGGGTACTTTCTTTAGGTTAGTTAAAACCTAACTTCACAGTCTGTAACTGAGTCAGATACACAGAAAATAGCAGACCTGGGGAAAAAAATGTTATTATTTTATTCAGTATAAGAACTTCAAAGTTTGAACGCATTATTTTCCAAACTAAATAAAAGTATTCAAAAAATTAATATAGGCTGTATAAGCTTATATGACTTAGTCTTAATCATAAGGACCTTAACTTTTTACTCTGTAGGTACATTATATAAAAAACTAAGAGTAAATTTCATGAGTTTTATAATTTTATTACATATTCTGTCTTAGAAAGGAACTAGTTCCTTAGAACATTTTCAGTAACCACATTTAGAACAGTCAGCTAGCAATAGTATTAAAATGCTGTCCAAAAGCACAGAGAATCTAAAATCCAAAAGATGTTTAGCCATCCAACAACAGTCATGAATAGCAGTCATACTCTGGGGATCAGTATTGACTTAGATAATAAAAATGAAAGGCACTGCTGAGGGTAGATTTCCTAGAAAGCACACATGTTTTGAGGCAATCATTAAAAACAAACCAACAGGCAAACAAAACAAAACAAAACAAAAACCAAAAAAAAAAAAAAAGGAAAATGTATGAATAGAAAAAAAAAAACAAGCTCATATACATCAGTGTCTTGTTTTCTTTGTCTCTTTCAGGTATGGTAGCACAAGACTGGTTGTTCTGTACAACACCACACAGATCACTGGCTTCAGAGGCAATCAACTGACAATGGCTTTTGCCAGCAGCATTTAAAGGGTCATTTTAGAAAATGACAAATTATTTCTTGTAAAATTAACTGCAGTTGTAGAATGAGACACTTGAGTGATAAACACCCTCTTTCTCATGCATAGTAATAGTTATTTCTACTATAAAATAACTAAGAACAATAAAAAATGTGCAAATGTCTAGAATAATCCATACCTAAAATAGACCCTATACTTTAACACTCTCAAGAAAACTGATTAGTTTCTGCTCTTATATTGGATAAAAAAGGAAAGGAAATCCATCTCTTTTTTTTGGATGAGTCTACTGTTTTTAATGACAGTCACATAGAGTACTCTTTTTCATACTATTTATCATTAATAAAAATATGACATCATTTCTCATTTAAAAATAGGCACTTGTTCTATCTATATCATCATTACATGCACTGTAGTTAAATTATATTGATAAACAGTAGGCAATTAAAGATCCCCAAAACAATGAACTCTTGATTACCCACATGTGGGTTATTTGCTTTCTAGATTATCTGAAACATTTTTTTTAATCAAAAGGTCACTTCCCTCTGTCTCTTGTTGAGCTTCTGGGAAGTCTGCTTTCAACATTTAGGCATGAATGCTGAGAATGCAAACGCATTACATTACTTTAAATGACTATGTAAGATTTGGGTATAAAATATTGTCTAAAATTTCATATAAGAAGACTGATTTTCTCATGAATTTTTTGAAAATACAACATGGTAACATATGTAAGTAAAAATGGAAAACCATAAAATCCTCTGCACAAGTTGCACCCAACATTGCATATTTAGAGAAAATTATTTTCATTAGTTTATAGTTCATAATTAGGAAGTTAATGACTGGTATTCAAAATGCACAGATATAATCTCTTCATCATATTGATTAATCCTTACAAGAGTCATATGAAATATTCTTATCCTTATGTCATAGACAAGAAGGTGGTGACAGCAAAAACAACAGAACCCTTTCAACTCCAAGTCTAGTTCTTTTTTCCCTTATGGTAGGCTGCCTTTCAAGATCAACACTTGGCCAAACAGAATCAGCCTATGCTTTGGAATATCACAGTGTATATCTTAAAGTCAGTGAATTGCAGCTCATTGGCTCTTTGAACTAGGAATAATACTTTCCCTCTTCATAGTTTGCTGTTAACATACGAGGCCTCACAGGAGAAGCAGTAACTGGCTCGTAAGAGGTATCTAATATGTGCACATTCCATGCCCATCTCCAAAATAATCCTTCAGAGTTTACAACACACGTTCACATTCATCATTTGATTACACAGAGGAAAATACAATTTTGTAAGACGGATTTAGGTGAAAGAATGTCTTTTTTTTCTGTGAACAATCAAGAGCCACTGAAAGGTTATTAATAGGAGAGTGATGTGGAAGCTGCACTTTGGGAAGAACAGGTGAGCAGCTATGTGTCAAGCCGGTAGGACTGGGTAAGACTAGAGGCCATCTCACCAGCTTATGAGACTACGTTTTATAAAGAAAAAGGTTATAAACATTTCAACTCGGGAAAAAGTGGAGACAAGGATAAAGAAGCATGTTTTCTTAAATGCTTATCTTTGGTCAATGTACAACTCCCTCTCATGTCCCCTGTGTTGATGTCAGGTTGACCAAGTTCACATTCCATGTCTGGGAGATATACCAGAAAAGGAAAGAAAACTGAGACAATCTGATTTTTCTTTTGGTTACTAGAGTCTTAGTATTTTATTATTTCTTTCTTCTTCACAGAGTCTCTGCATATGTTTTTCCTATTGACTAAAATGTTCTTTTTCTCATCCTCTCACCTGAGTTAGTTAACTATTTCTCATCTATCTGTCCCATACTAAAATTAATGTTCCTTGGGGAAGCTTTCCTGGACTCCAGAGACTATATTTGATCTCCTATTACTTAATGATTTGTCTGTTTCCCCCCATATTCTCCTCGTATTTTGTATCCTTGTAATAGCATCTATAACTATGCTTTTTCTTTTTGCCTAAACTTGCACAAATATTACACTGACTTAATTAATATAATTTTAATTCAGGAGAAATTCCTACCTGTTTTTCTCCCCTGTTCAAAAGCATTTTTAATTTGGGCTTTTTGTCCTTCCAAATAAATTTCAGATTTATTAGTTGGTGGACTTCTCAGCAACACAACACAACAAAACAGAACAAAACAAAACAAAACAAACACAAGAAATTGGCGGGGGGGATGCCTTCATTGATTCTATATATCGACTTTGGGAGAATTGAAATCTTTATATTATTGTACCTTTTAATCAATACATATGATATATTTCCTATTTCTCTAATATTTTACAGATTTCTGAATGTATGTATTGTGCATATTTTGCCTGAACTTATTCCTAAATGTTTTATTACTTTATCTTTTTTTAAATAAACTTTATTGAGGTAAAATTTATATAGGAAGAAAATCACTAATAATTTCATGGCTTTTGACCTTAGCCACTACCATAACCAAGATATAATGCATTTCCTTCACCTCCAAAATTTCCTTCATATCACAGTAGTTTGAAAATAGTTTTTATAAATATTAATTTAATGTTTATCTCTAAGAGTAAATTTCAAATGGCCATAAATTGTTATATTTTACACCATATCTCTAACACTTAGAAAAGAACTAGACACATGGTTAGAGATTCATAAACACATGCTGAATGAATAGACGAATGAATAGTCTGTTTATAACAGCAAGTAAGTAAGTGGAACACTCACTATGCCACACTTGAGTTCTGCTAGGGTTGGAGGGGAATGAAGGCAGGAGTGCCAGTCTGAAAGCATACACTAAGACAAAAATAACATGATAGTAAAATGATACTTCCTCATTCTACTTTAAATGTTTTTGCCAAAAGACTATCATATTAGATGGAGTACAATAGGTGAAGAGAATGTGTTAATTTTACACACTTTTATATACCTGTTTAATTATATGTATTTTTAAACAAAAAGAATACATCAACACCTCTGATTAAAATGAAAGACTGAAAACATTTTAAAATCTCTTCTTTTTTACTTCCAACCCTATAAACATTATGTTAGAGGAACAAAGAAAAGTATAAAAAGCCAACAAAGACAAAAAGAAAAATGACAGCAGCATAGGGGAAAGTATAATACATTTTTGTATTTTCTTGGAAAATAGAATACAGGTGAAGTGGTAGAGATAGAACAAAAGGAGCCAAAGATTAGAGTCTTTATGTGATAATTTGGTATGGCTGATTACTAATAATTATTAGTGATTAATAATATGGCTAATGGGGGTAGTTTGAAGAGTCTTGAAATACCATGTAGAGCTGAGATGAGACATGGAGCTGGAAGTAGCTGAGTTAATTAAAAGTCTACTGATGAATAATCAACCTACTCATCTCCTCCCACCATGAGCAGATTGCTGAAAGCAAGCAGTTACCCTCAAAGGGCAGAGTGAATGTTTGTTTTTTTCCTGCAAGGGAAATAAATATCTGTGGGAAACTAAAGCAGCAGTGTAGAATTTGCTATTGTTTGAATCAAAGTCCCCTGCATTTCAGTCTTTAGATATCTTGAAGTATAAAAACTGGCTCTTTTTTTAGCTTACTAATGTAAGTCTGCAAGCCAAAAAAAAAAAAAAAAAGCCCATCCTCATATCAAAGCTCAAAATCAATTTTCTGTGTATTCACTTCTAAACATTAATGTGAAATCAAGGAGCAATGGATAATCAAGAAAAGTCTATAACATTTAAGAGAATAGCCAAGATACAGTATCAGAAAAACTGAACCTGAAAGAAATAGAGATAATTGGCCGGGCGCGGTGGCTCACACCTGTAATCCCAACGCTTTGGGAGGCTGAGGTGGGTGGATCACGAGGTCAGGAGATCGAGACCATCCTGGCTAACACAGTGAAAACCCATCTCTACTGAAAAAAAGTAGAAAAAAAATTAGCCAGGTGTGGTGGTGGCTGCCTGTAGTCCCAGCTACTCGGGAGGCTGAGGCAGGAGAATGGTGTGAACCCAGGAGGCAGAGCTTGCAGTGAGCCGAGATCACGCCACTGCACTCCAGCCTGGGAGACAAAGTGAGACTCCATCTCAAAAAAAAAAAAAAAAGAAAAAAAAAAGAAATAGAGATAATTGACAGAACAGAACCAAAAATATTTCTAATTAACATTCTCAAATAGATTTGAGAGAATATTTCATCTATAAAATAGGGCCACAGTGATTACAAAAGGATATCCAGAGAGGAATAAAAAGTTCTTGAAAATTAAATATATACTAACTGGAGCTTTAAAAAATGCAATGTTAAGACTTGGAGGATCAAGTAGAAGTTGTCTCTCCAAAAGTAAAACATATAGAAAATAGAGGAAAAATATGAAAAAAGCAAAAGCAAACAAAGCAAAGAGCACCAACCCAAAATCTTCAGCTTCTGATTAAAGAGAAATTTCATACCAAGAACACATACACAAAAATCAATGGGAGAAAAATATCTTTAATAATAATAATAAGTCCAGAACTTTTCTCAAAGCTATTGTCTTCAGATTGAAAGGTCAACCGGGGTCCCCAAACATACTGAATAAAGATATGTTAGCCAATTCCTGTTGTTGGCTATGTGGCAGCTATTGTTCTATGTAATTTACCTATATTTACTCACTTAATGCTGACTGCAGTACTATGAGGTAGGAAATATTACTGCTATCCCCATTTTAAATGGAAGTGAACTTAAGCAATGAAAGTTTAAGTATTTTTTTACAAAATTATTTAGGGGCAAAGCCAAGATCTAAGCCCAGATATTTTAGATAACAGAGGTCTAACCCTTGCCCATACACAATGTTGCCTCACAAATAAATGAAACAAAGACCTACATCTAAATACACAATTGTCAAATTTCACAACAACAAGGATAACATAATGTCCCATTAGGCCATGTAGTTCCTTAGAAGTTTTATGTTCCATGCATTATTTAAAAATATTTTACTGATGATATAGCGCAGTAAAATAAAGGACTAAATTGAGACAGAGAAAAACCTATCAGTAGTTCATCACTCCTTCCTTTTTACAATACTTTCTTCACTTTGCAAGGATACACCCCTCTCTCTTAGTTCTCCTTGTACCTCAATGTCCTCTATATATTAGTCTTTTTTTTTTTTTTGCAGACCTTATCTTCTCAATCTCTGAAAGTTTGAATTCCCTGGGGATCTACCCTCAGACCTTTTCTTTTGTAGCTACCAAATTCTTAGTGATTTCATTTAGTACCAGGGCTTTAAAGGCTTTAAATATCCAAATGCCACTAGTACATTGAAAACTATCTGTAGTGGGCAGAAGAATAGTGTCCCTTAAAAAACCATGTCCAGTTGGAACCTCAGAATATGACCTTATTTAGAGAAAGGGTCTTTGAAGATATGATTAGGTGATAAACTCAAGATAAAATCACCCTGGACTTAAGATGGGCCCCAAATCCAGTGACTGGTGTTTTCGTAAGAAAAGAACACAAAAGAAACACAGAGAAAGCCTGGTGAAGAATGTAAATCAACTCTCCACCACATCCTCAGGTCTCCAGACTTTCCTGTTTCAGTCTGCATTCAGTCAGGAAAATTGGGCCACTACAAGTATTATGGGAATAAGGAGTTTTATATAGAAATCAAGTCTGCACAGATGGGGGAGGAGTTGGGGAAGTAAAGAATGCTTCATTCTTCATCTGGAGTTATGTAGGTGTACACTGGAGTTATGTAGCCATAGCCAAAGAATGCCTGGGGCCACCAGAAGCTGGAAGATGCAAGGAAGAATAATTTTCCTAGTGTCTGCAGCAGGAGCACGCCTCTGCTGACACCTCCAGAACTGTGAGATAATAAATTCCTGTTGTTTTAAGCTACCCAGTTTGTGGTTTTGTGGTACTTTACTATAGCAGTCCTAGGAAAATAGTACAGTATCTTATTTACATTTTTATTCTAGACTTCTCTCCCTCTAGTTCCTACCTGTATATTCAATTTATCACCATCATTTCCACTTGGATACAAAATTTCTCCTTCTGAAGTCTCCCTGTTCTCAGAAAATGGCAATACCATCAGTTACTTGGGCAAAAGTCCTTATATTCATTCCTCTTTTTCTTGCTTTTGTCTCATGCCTTTTATCCAATCATCAGCAAATCCTATTAGTAATGTCTTTCAAATATATCTAGAATCTACTAATCACTTCTAACTAGCTTGATACTTACCACTCCAGTCCATTCACTATCACTATCTCCCTGATTCCATCTTTCCCTCCTACAGTGCATTCTGAATCATAGCAGTCAGAAGATCCCTTAAAAATATATGTCAGATTGTGTCATACTTATGCTCAGATCCTATTTCCCATTCATGGAGAATTTTAGGAGGGAAGTGTCTTGGGATAAAGCTGTAGGGAATATATGCTGTTATCAACAACTTTCTATTGCTAAGGCTGAAGACTACATTTCCCAAAAGCCCTTTCCCTGTGTATGGCTTTGTGTTAGAGTTCAACAATGAGTGGAATGTCTAAATTTGCCAAAGAGAACTAAGGCAGAAGCCATTATTCCTGGGAAGTCATAGCAATCAGTGTCAGTGATTCTAAGAGCTCTGGTTTCTCTACCAATTCTAGTGCATCAGTCTGAAGTGATGAGTGAATGTTTTGCAAATCCTCTGGCTGCAACCTCGAGGATCTTCACTTTCCCAACTCCTCCCTCATTTGTGCATCTTAATTTCTGTATAAAACTCCTTATTCCTATAATAAGGAATATACTACTTGTCTGTCTAGTAAACAATATTTAGCTGGTCACAATGATATAAACACTATGGATTTTCAAATTTTATATACAGTCCATAGGTAAAGCATGAGATATTTAAATATTAACCTTCATAATACAAAAAGAAGATATTGGGAGATGAAGGTAAGGGGCAGAACCAACATCTTTACATTTCATAGGGAGGAATAAAAAAAAACCATTGTAGTTGATACGATGCGAAATGAAGGTGGAAAAATATATTGCTGAAGTCTGAAAAGGTAACCAATAGAGGAACTGAAACTAGTGATATAACTATATTAGAATTAAATGAGTATGAACAGGTGATGGTATAACAGAGATAAATCTTCATCTATCATACCCAGCATTCTACTGATAATGTCTGAAATTGATCAATTAAACCAAGAATGGTATAAACATATTGAAATAATTAAGTTATTTATCCTAGCAGCTTATCTCAACTAAGGTTTCAGAAGAGAATTAAACCCTAACACACCCTCGTAAGCATGGATAAACTTATGTCCTGTATATCTGGTATGGTGCTAGTCATATGCCATCTTTGGGAGTTATGAGAAAATAGTCCCTCAGGTAATTTTCTGGTTTTGAGTTTAGATGAGGAACTCCTTGTAAGAAAGGGTGCTGGAAAGTGAGCAGGAAGTGAGTCAGGTGACTATTTCTTTTCATTCCAAATTCTTCTCTGTTGTTTGGTATCTTTTAACTATGTGTCTTTTTTCTTTGACACACATAAAATATATATTTAAAAACATTTAGGAATCTCATTTTAGAAATGTTGAGTATAATAATATGATAGGATGGTGATTCACATAGTAATGATATGAAGTATGATATGAATGATATGAAGATATAAAGAAAATGAGACAGAAGCTTTGGACAAGATATCAGGGCTGGAAACATGAGGGTAACCTAATCAGAATTGATACTGCAAGATGCTACTACAATTAGACCCAATTTGATGAAAGTACTAAAGTTGAGATTACAGAGAGACAAGAAAGAGGTAAGGGCAGTCCTTGGAGAAAACTGAGGGGACTGGAAAGGGAACTATAGGAGGGATTGTGAGTAGGGAGGTAGGAAGAAGATCACAAGTCAAACCACAGAACTAAAGAAAAAAAGAGTGTCAAAAACAGAGGGTTGCCAACAATGGTAAGGAGTATTTGCAATGGCCTTTTGATATATATTTTAAAATAAATATTTCTGGTTTAACATAGAATTGAAATTCTCTCTGATACATGAATGAGTTGAACAAAGCATTTAATAAAAGAATTCTGGAAACTCCTTAAGACTTTTCAAAAATCTTTGCAGTTTCTATTCCTTTCACAACATAACCAATGTGTAAGATACAAGACTTACAAGAGTTTTATTCATGTTAAGTATTTGAAATAGTCCCTCAGGTCATTTTTTGGTTTCGAGTTCAGAGGAGGAAATCCTTTTAAGAAAGGGTGCTACAAAGTGAGAAAAAGTATTTATTCATTCATTTAAGTATTTATTAAATGTCTATCGTGTAAAAATGTGCTAGACACTGTGGAAATATATTCAAGAGTTCATAGTCTTATAAAGAAGATACAGAATGATCATAAATAACTCAGATAACAAGGTAAATATTATGAGGTCTACAGATGAAGAAAGAGATGAATTCAGGAAAGAGACATCACCTCACTTTAAAGCTCAGTTCAGTAAAAGTTCAAAGAAAATTAGTCCACTGTAGTAAAACATGGCTGAACAGAAACTTCCAGCTTTACTCCTACACATGCTAGAAAATTACTTAAAACATTCATTTATTTACTACATTGTGATCAAATATCTACTTCAAAAGCAGAGTTTTAAAAAAATCAGGTGATATGATAGAGAATATGGATGTGAAGCATCTATTGGCTCTGCATTATTAAGTAGACTGCTCTTAATCAAGGTAAAGCCAGGAAAGTCTTACTTTCTATGCCTTCCAGAGCCATTTTCTAATAGCAAAGATTAGATTGAATACTTGATCTACTTAAAGATTATTTCCAGAAGAAAAAATCTGATTTTCTTGAACTATCCAGTAAGAATAAGAGAGTTATGGTGTCTTTGTATAATAGTTTACTGTGAGCTTTCTAATTATTAATATAGTGAAGCAAAAGACTTTATGCATTTTGATGAGCTCACTTACTGGTTATTCAGAAAAATGAGCTTTGAATGGTATGCCAGGAATGGTAAGATGACAGCAAAAATAGCTATTCTGTATTTATTTGCAAGCTAACTGACAAACCTACATCACAAGAAATACTGCTTTGAGTGAAACTGGCTCACTGATGCCAATAAACAAAGAAATGCAATACTACAGTTTTCATATATCTGAATGAGAAGTTGTCAGATATAGCTTTGAGTGGGTCTTAACCAGAAAATTCACTGATGGATGGCTTCTACTGGCTTTGAGCGAGTGTCATATGCCTGACAGACTGTCTACTTTAAGTCCATTTTATTATAACAACCACTTCCATCTCTGCTGAAACACCCTTTAGCTTGATACAAGTTTTTTAGCCAGTAAGGAAACATCATATCTCTCCCACATAGATAATTGAAGGGAAAAATATACCAACTGAGCAAGCCAGTAACTCCTTCCAATTAAAATTACATGAAACAGGCTATGTGTTTCTTAAACACAGGTTTGCTATTTGATGGTGCTTTAAAACCTCTTAACCACACAACCTGATGGCACTGTCTGGCTCTGTCAATATGAGGTCACTTAATCAAACTTTTTCCAGACTAATTAAATTTTGTGTTCACTTTAACAACCTATTTTTTCATGATCAATCAGATCAGTTGTACAATCCAATTTTATTGCCAAGGCAACCCCAAATGATAGATCAAAGGAAAAGGTTTTCACTCCTGAGTATTTGATCTTACAGACTCAGCTTAATTGTGTACTTGAGTAATGTATCTTTAAAAAAAACCTTTGGCTTGCATTTTTCTGATTATTTAATGTAATAAAGGGAATAGGAAAAGGAAGGTAACTGACAGTTGTTTGGCTGCTAACTGCCAGGTATTTTGTCTATCTTTTGCATCTAATTTCCATTACAATCATTGTTTCTACACATTCACACACAAACCTTTTTTTTAAAAGATTTATATGGTGATAGGAGACATGATATGGGGTACCTAAAAGGAAAACAATCTCTATACGAACAGAGCTGCCACAGCTACTTATAGTTTTCTGTGGCAGAACATATCATCCTGCTACTTCTTAGAGGCAGGTTCCAACACTATAAAAAGGCTTGGTACGAAGTCTGTCCTTCTAGTAGCTTCAGTGCTTTAGTCAACAACATGAAGTATTTTAAAGTCTAGTTTTATCTATACTGTCTCAGCATTAAGCTGCTAGAGCACAGGAAATGATCTAAATGTACAGTGATGAGACAGTGATTAAATAAATTATAGCACGTGCATAAAATGGAATGCTATACAGCTTCTTAAAATGCTTCGGAAAATTCTGAATGTCATGGAAAAATGCTTGCGATAAATATCATGTAAACGAGGTAGGATCAAAATTATGAATAAAATATTACTCCAGCATGTAAATATGCATCTTACTCATGAATAAGATAGCAGTTATCTTTAATTGGTAATATTACAGATAGTTTTTATTGTATTTTGAATATGCTTTTCCATTTTATACATTTTCCATATATGCATTGCTTTTTTAATTTAAAAAGATTTACCAAAAAATATATCAGAGTTGATGAATAAAACCAGAATGAATTACAAGAGTGGTTTGTATGTGCTCCTTACATAAATTAATGTCTCAAGAAGATGGTCAAGGCAATCTCATCTCATCTCCCATTGTACCCCTTCCATAGATTCTGTGCTCTGCCTGCCCCTTCCCTGCACATGAACTGGACTCTTCTGCCTCCATGCTTTTGCCAACATGACTTTCTCTTTCTGGAATACACATTCCCTTCCTTTTGAGGCACCGAAAGTATATTTTCAAGGCTCTTCACAAGTCTTACTTATCCAGGCTGCTGTTCTTAACTTTCTGGGTTTCAGTTCTCTTGCTGAACGTATAATTGAACCAATCACAATCTGCGAAATGCCTGCTAGTCTTACCAAAACAAAATGTGAGCCCTTAGAGGACCTGAATCTCACATTATTCATCTTCATAATTATTGATTATTCATTCCCTCCACTTCTAGAACACAGCCTGGTACACATTAGTCCTCAATAAATATTTGCTGAACTCTGGTAAAGTCATCCTCAGCAAATAGGACTGGGATGCACGAGTGGGATGCATTTGGATTAACATATGGAGTTTTCAGTGCAATCAAAAGGGCATTAATTTAAGCTATTGTATTTCTTCAAAGGAAATTATTATGTAGTAGATTTAAGAACATAACATAAGTGTTAGTCTTTAAAATTTTGGCCCACAGTGACTAGTATAAAACAAGAAGGATCGCCTGGCCAACATAGTGAAAACCAGTCTCTACAAAAGAAAAAAAAACATTAGCTGGGCATGGTAGCAGGCACTTGTAATCTTAGCTACTTGGGAGGCTTAGTCAGGAGAATCGCTTGAACCTGGGAGGCGGAGGTTGCAGTGAGCTGACATCGCACCACTGCACACCAGCCCGGGTGACAGTGTGAGACTCCGTCTAAAAAAAAAAAAAACAAAAGAAAAAACCAAGAAGGAAAATAAAACACCAAGGAGAGAGGCCTGAAAGCTAAGCTACCGTTTTTTTTGGTTGTTCAAAGAATATGATATATACCAACATATGTCACTTTCATTTTCACATAAGCAATATTTTCTTTCAGAATAAATAACAATTACTGGTTTGAAATTTAAATTGGGACTTAAAGATAAGTTGTAAATATTAAATTAAATTTGTCTCACCTTTTAATTGGCACTATTTTAAATATAATACATAAATATAGTTGTAATTCACAATGATAAATTTAAGCACTCTATGCTTCTAATTTCCTATGGAAGTTGATTATAAAACAAATGCTTTCTGTTAAATTGCCTTTATTTATTCCCCAGTGGAATGTTCTTTCTAAACTATGAAGATAACCTCTGTAATTCTTTCCACTGTAATATCTCCCATGACCAGAGATCAAAAGAAATTCACTTAACTAGGAAAGTGAAACTTATTAGACAGGCAAGGATAATTAATGATAAATTCTACTATGTTGGCTGTAAATTTTTCTACCCACATATTTAATTTCATGTTATATTGAAGAAAATAGAGTCATAGTACCTGTTAATAAGACAAATTCCTGGAAGTAATTAAAATAGTTATAGTACACTAACTGTGGAGGAGATTGCTAATGGTTCACAGAAATCTATTTCCTCTTCCTTGTTGGCACATAGCTAGACTACATGAGTTTCAGAAAGTGGAATATGAGTGGTCAGGGTTTTTAGAAAGCAGATGTGGCACTGCCAGTCTCTTATTATTCTGCTGGTTGGATAGAATTAACAAGATCATAGGGAAGAGGGGAAGGGTGGGAGAGAGATTAGAAGGAGTTTGAGACTCTAAAATGTCTGCCAACCAGAAACACTTAACTTTGGGCAGTTACATGAAAAATAAACTTCTATTGTATTTGTCATAATACATTTTGGCTCTATTTACTATTGCTGCTAATACTTCCCTATCTAGGAACTAGTAAAGGAATTGAGTAAAGTTGCAGGATACAAAATCAGCATACAAAAATCAGTTGCATTTCTATACACTAATGGCGAACTATTTGAAAAAGAAGTTCAGAAAACAATACCATTTACAATAGCATCAAAAAGAATAAAATACTTTTATTCTTTTTGTACACTAAAAACTATAAAACATAATGAAATTAATTAAAGTAGATATAAATAAATGGAAAGATATCCTAAGTTCATGGATTGGAAGGCTTCACATTGTTATAATGTCCATGCTACCCAAAGCAATCTACAAAGCCAATGTATTCCTATCAAAACTCCAATAGCATTTTTCACAGAAATAAAATTTAAAATTCTGAAATTCATATAGAACCACAAAAGACCCGGGATAGCCAAAGAAGTTTTAAATAAGAGGAACAAAGCTGGAAGTATCACACTTTCTGATTTGAAATTCTATTACAAAAATAGCAATCAAAACAGCATGGTACTGGCACAGAAACAGACACACAGACCAAGGAAACAGAATAGAGAGTCCAGAAATAAACCCACACATACATGGTCAACTAATTTTCAACAAGAGTGCCAAGAATACACAATGGGGAAAGGAAAGTCTCTTCAAAAATGATGTGGAGAAAACTGGATATTCACACACAAAAGAATGAAACTGGGCCCTTATCTTAAAGCATACAGAACTCAAATCAACTTAAAATTAAAAAATCAACTCAAAATAAAAAATTAAAAATACAATGACTACATATATATCCAAATAACTTGAAATCAGGATCTTGAAGAGATATCTGAACTCTCACCTTCACTGCAGCATTATTAAAATAGCCAAACTGGGATTACAGGAACATGCCACCATGCCAGGCTAATTTTTTTTTTTTTGTATTTTTCAGGAGACTGAGGCAGGAAAATCGCTTAAACCCGAGAGGTAGAGGTTGCAGAGAGCTGAGACTATGCCATTGCACTCCAGCCTGGGCAACAGAGTGAGACTCCATCTCAACATAAATAAATAAATAAATAAATAAATAAATAAATAAATAAATAAATAGCCGAGTTATGGGGACAACTTAAATGTCCACCAATGAATGAACAGATAAGGAAATTGTGGTATATACATACAATGAAATACTATACAGCATTAAAAAGGAAGAAAATTCTGTTATTTGTGACAACACGGACGGACCAGGAGGGCATAACATATGGTGAAATAAGTCAGACACAGAAAGATAAGTGCTGTATAATCTTACTTATATGTGGAGTCTAAAACAGCCAAACTCATAGCAGCAAGGTAGAATGGTGTTTTCCAGCAGCTGAGGTTAAGGGGAAAGGGGAAGGTGATGGTTAAACTGTGCAAAGTTTCAGTTATGCAAGATAAGTAAGTTCTGGGTATCTACTATACAGCATAGTATCTACAGCTAACAATACTCTCTTTTATATCTAAGAGAGTAGATCTTATGTTAAAGGGTTCTTACCAATAAACAAGTACAAAAAGCAATAAAATTGTAATGAGGCAAAAGAAAACGTTGGGAGGTGATGAATATGTTGATGGTACTGACAGTTTCACAAGTATATATGTATCCCTAAACTCATCAAGATGTAGACATTAATTATATACAGCCTTTTGTCTATCAAGCATACCTCAATGAAGTGGTTTAAAAATATTCCCCTAATTCAATACTATATCCTAAGTAAACTATTTAAAATCTACATCTTTCATGCATCCATGCACAGAAAATCCAGGTATCATTCGTTGTGTACCCTGTTTTCTGATTTATTCACCCTTAAATATGCATGTTAATTTTTCCAGATGCATATATAATATATATGTCATGTGCATTCACATTTACATTAATTTATTCACTCATGAGAATCTGCTAATTAGTAGGTCTTGAGGATACATGAGTAAAGAAAGTTCATTAGCAGTCAGAGAGACAGATCTGTATAGCAGGAGTAAACTTGATGTATTTAATATGTGTGCTTCCTTTTATTTCTCATTCTCTCTCCTCTCTCAATGGCCTTCTCCTCTCCCAAGTGCCTTCTCCCCCTTCTTCAGTGCCTACCCTCAGTTCACACAGGCAATAGCAACAAAAACTGGAAAACTCATAGAATTCTAAGTGGGTATAATGGTTAATGGTGTTTGGAAAAATCAGGAAGTGGTTTGATGAGGAGATGATGTGAGGCTTGTGTAAATATCTGGAAGACAATTCTAAGGTAGTATAGGTAGGGCTTAGTGCCCAACTTGGACTGAAGGAGCCCACAGTGGCTTTTTAAAAAAACCACCAAGTAATAACTAAAGCAAATGAAACCAAAAGCTTTTATTACTCATAAGATAAAGCACTCTCTTGTAGCATTGCCTACTAGAATCCCCTCAGAGAACATGAAATTCTCCTGGACACACAAACTGAAGGAGCCCAGGGAAACACAGGTCGTGCATGTAGGCATTCCTAGGTATGCTTTCGGGAGACTGGTCCCAGAAAAATGACTGGTCTGGCTGCTAAGCTTGGGGAGTTTCCATTGCAGCTACTAGGCATATTACTGCTAATGTGGTGTCTGTGATGTCTGGGATGCAAAGTAAGGCAAATTTTAAAAAGATCACTTAATTAGAATATTTAGGTAGTTGGCTCATTGCATGTAATTTAATAACATTTTCAAGTACAGCAAACATAAATTTTTCTGAAAGATTAGTGTAACCAAAGGTTTAATTGGTAACTTTGGATTGCTTTCCCTCTTCATTCTTCAATATTACGGAGGAGATGAATAACATCCTTGTAACCTGTCATTTTTAAAGATGATACTAAAATTAAAGTCCTATAATCATCTTTTAGAAGGGTTTCTAAGCCTTAAAAGTGCTAAAAACCTTCACATATTTTCTTTAAAATAATCATTTCTTTTTGTCTGGCTGATAAGTTCAAACTTCCCACTCAGATAGACTGTATTTATTGAATTTCACAGAAAACTTCAATTACAGGTCTCTTGCAATGAAGATAATTATACTAAAATTTTATATTAGATTGTTTCTTTTTCCAGGTTTTAGGGGGAAAAGAAAGACATACTAATATTTATTTTATTATTACTACCAGCTCTTACCATGTTACATAGAATTCTCCACAAAGAAAGCACATACCAAACGATTTTTAGTATGTGATGTTAAGACTGTAAGAACAAAAAGAAGCCAGTTACTTGTGTTTACATTTTGAGGAAACTATCCCAAAGCCCCACATTAATAATAGCACTCTCTCTTTCAATGTCTTAAAGTTGTTGCTGTGACTTTCAAATTTTATTTTTCCATAGGCCAAGGATCCCAACTGTGCCATAAAATATGACCTATAATTTGGAACTCTCATCTCTGAGATTTTATTTGGTCAGCTTCTATTATCTACTCTATTTATCTCTCTATTTCAATTGGACTCTGCAGAGTTGGTTAAAGGTGAACATTTCCTAGAAACCATCATTCTCAGTAAACTATCGCAAGAACAAAAAACCAAACACCGCATATTCTCACTCATAGGTGGGAATTGAACAATGAGATCACATGGACACAGGAAGGGGAATATCACACTCTGGGGACTGTGGTGGGGTCGGGGGAGGGGGGAGGGATAGCATTGGGAGATATACCTAATGCTAGATGACACGTTAGTGGGTGCAGCGCACCAGCATGGCACATGTATACATATGTAACTAACCTGCACAATGTGCACATGTACCCTAAAACTTAAAGTATAATAATAATAATAAAAAAAGAAAAAAAAAAAAATAAGTCTCTTCACCTCTATCTCCCAGGTTGATTCATGACCTAATATAACCTTTGACCCTAAGAAAGTAGATTTCTAAAAGAATAACTGCTAGTTTTAGACTGCTATTTGGCTTCATATCTACAGCCAAGCAACATTCTTAAATATACCCAAGAATTTCCACCTTCACAAATATATAAAGTGCTCTTCTCCTATTTTTTTAAAAGAAGAATCAAAACAATCACTTCTATAACCTAGTGTAAGGCAGTAAATTTTAAAAAGGTCAAATATATAGTGAACTATGAACCATGAATGCTTAAAATAAGTAGAATAGTATATGTTTGAAGGGATGGATATTCCAATTACCCTGATTTGATCAGTATGCATTGTATATGGGTATCGAAAATCACATGTACCCCCAAATATGCACAACTATTATATATCAACGAAACAAAGAGACAAAAAGTAGGGTGTTTTTGAAAGTAAATCATAAAGTAATACCACGGAGGACAATGAATTGGACATTGTGAGAATATAGGATTTAAATGTTCCAAACTAAAGAGACTGCTCATTTCTATCAACACATTATTCCACACACACACATGCACACACACGCACACATCTGTGCATTTAAGCTACTTGCACATGCTAGTTTCACCCAAATATGATGTAGTAAAGCGCAAATATTTTAGGGCTTAATTAGCCTCCAATATGGTAGGAGTACTAGCAAAACAGGACAGACTTCAGATTGCAGATATCATGTACTGTGTGTGGGAAACTACCTTATGCTGGCAGTTGCTACCGGCATATTACTATATTATCATGAGGAATCTGCAGAATGGACTCCAAACTTGAGCTATAAAATAATGTAGCCTTCTGATTACAGACGTTTTAGAAAAATTGCACATTTGAAAACTTTGAATGGATGCCATCTTGTTCACAGGTGGCAGACCCACAAATGGAGCCATAGTGTGTTAAGATATCTATTTACACATGGATCTCTAACCAGCCTGGATAACTGTCAACTAATATTAGAGATCATGGTGAGAATAAATCAAATATAAAACAGAAAAACAATACAGTACATACTATATGATTATGCTTACATAAATGCTAGGAAATGCAAAGTAACATACAATGACAGAAAGCAAATCAGGGGTTGTCTAGGCTTAGGGGAGAGGGAGTTGGAATGAGGTCTTGCAGAGGGATACCATGAAAATTTTGGCGATAATGGATATGTTCGCTAGTTTGATTGTGATGATGATTCCGTGGATGTATAACATATATTAAAACTTATCAAACTTTACACTTTAAATATGTGGGGTTTACTGTATGTCAATTTCAATTTTTAAAAAGCTATTAAAACATATGGAATAAAAATGTGTTCCCAATTTTATGCACATATTCAATACAATGGTCAGAAATTGGTCTCTAATGATTTACTGGTGTATGACTGTCAACAACTAAAGAACTTCCAGATACTTAAGGTAACAAACTGTCCTTCCCAAAGGAGCCAGAATTAGCCTTCAGTTACAGGAAGTGGGAGAATTGAGGAGGGAGAGTTGGTGTGAAGCAAGACTGTGTGTGTTTGGAAACTCAGGTATTAAAATGGGGAGTTACTTAACAGGAACACAATAGTTTAGTACACATTAATAAAAAGAAATTTCACAGACACAGGTTTAGAAACACAGAGTAGGTAGCCTCCTTTTAGAATGGGGAAGCCATGTGCTGGAGGAAGACATACTCCAACTCTGAATAATAACTGAACTCAGCATGTCAGTCATGGAGTCATTCTTCGTAGATGATGCTGACAGCAAAGATAACTGAGTGGAAGGTCTGGAGTACCCAAGTCAGAACTGGTTGGGGTTCAGGTGGAGGGGTCTGTGAGCAGCAGCCTACTCAACCTGTTTGGAAATCAATTAACCTAGTTGTGGAAAGTAGAGTCTTGTGAGGGCTGGAAGGTCAGATTCAGTTTGAGTAGGAATCTGTTTTCCCTCTGAATACAGTGCTTACAGGTTCATTATGCATCTCCTAAAATAAGTAACTGGTTTTATAGCTATTTTGGTGTGTGGCTTACCATCTCCAGCTCTCTTTTTGAGGTCATGCTCCTAGAGTAGGGAGTATTTCTTATGAGTCTTCGAACCTTCATATTGCTGACAATAAACATTGAGTGGAAGAATAACATTAGTTTTAGTAGGCTTTCCTAAAGCTCATTAGCCATGTACCCCAACTGACACCATCATCTACTTCAAAGACCCACTGCTAGCAATGGGATCAGCTGCCAAGTCTGCTAAGTGAGGAGTGGACACTGGAGTCTCAGAATTGAATCACAATAACCTTTCAACCCATGATAAATTTCAGGCCCACTGTATTAAAAGTTGCAGAGACCAGCATGACAGGAGGCCAAGAAAAGCAAACTCAATACCCCAATTCAGAAAGCTCCTTGGGATTTCCTGCTGTGTGATTTGACATGACTGAGTTTCTGAAAAGGCCATCTAAGCAGGAGACAAATCTAGCAGCAAATCTGCCTGGGGATGGATAACATAATATTTATCTTTCATTCCCTGCTTCCCTTATTTTATCAGTGGGGGATTGATTAAAGAGAGGATGTCTAGGCACCAGGCACCAGAGATCTGGGAAATAAAGCTATGAAGGCTCACAGGCTTTAGGTACACATATACCCAAGGTGCATGCTGCCTTCAGGTCCACTCTGTCGAGCACAGCAGTTAGAAAGCAAGTACCAATCTGGACTATTGATAACTTACCAAAGTAAGCTCTTGAGCTTCTTTTGCCTGCATAATACATAAGAGAAGGGAGGGGTACAGTCTCTTTAATTTGATGATGCTAATCCAGCATAGCTGGCATGATACAAGGGAAAATAAGGTCTGTGCAGTTTACTTCAGGGTTTTTAAAATCCAATCCATTCAGACAAATATTATTAGAGTCTAATAAGTTCCAAATACCATGTTGGGCACTGTGGATGCAGCAACAAATGAGCTAGTCTCTGTTCCAGGAAAGCAGGTGCTTACCCAGAGGGGCTGATTTGAAATCTTAAGTGGGAAAAAAGGATAGGCAGAGCTTGTCCTTGGGGTTGGGGGAGTGTGTGAGATCAAGATCTATGAGCAGCATGCGGGGATGAAACAAACAATAAACCCAGCACCCAAATGGCAATCTTAGTAGGTCATCAGTCCAATGGTACTAGAAATAGGGTGAGAAGCCAGATATAGGATCACCTAAGCTGAGAAATCAGAGAAAGTGGGAATCAACCTGGAGCAATTCCTCTACCTAAAGAAACAGACACTGGCACTTTAATAGCAAACTGGGCCTCCTCCATGGATGTGAGGGGCTTTGTTAAAGGTACTAACCCAGCTAAGATCCAGCTCTCCAGCAGCTAGTTCAGGGGTATAAACATGTTAACAAATCACTAGAAATGAATTTTCAGAATTCATAACAGAGGTCCTGTACTCTGCCAGAAACGCTATGCAAAGCAAGTGACTTCTAAAATGATTAGATAGACAAGCTGGTAAAGGAATTCCAAACAAAGGGAAGAGCCTGTGCATGGACATGGGATGACGACAATGATGGAAGAAGAGTGAGTGATTCAATGTGGCAGGTGCATATTTTTGTGAAGGGAGGTGGCAAGAGACAAGGTGAATATATAGGTTGGGGCCAGATGGTGAAGGGATTTGTTTGTTGGACCTGAAATTTTAGATATTATCCTGAAAGCAATGTGGAGATGAACAAGCTTTTGAGTAGAGTGTTCAATAATGAATTGTCCCCTGAAGCTCTCTCAGCATGCTAATGGCTGAAAGAAGCAGATGATGCACTCCCACACATCCTTTCTCGTTCTCCCATGAAATGTCCTGGTCCCAGCCTTGAACCAGGGCCCCCCACCTCTGCTTTGGAAAGTTTATCTTTGGATCCTACCATTTTGCCCAGCCCCTTTTGAGTTACAGATTACTTGCCAAATTCTGATGTTCTTCACCAAGGGACCACTGCTCCCACTATCTATGATAACATTACTGCAAAATAGAAACAAAAAGCATCAAAATTCTTTTTCTGGTCTTAGCCTCTGAAATGCTGTTATCAGTTAAGGGTAGAGACGGGGCAGTAACAGGATTTGGAGGTAAAGTTGAAGGGGAGATGGTAGAAAGAGAGCTATATTAGAGAAAGGAAGAACACTGAAGAGGACAAATAAAGATAATGATGATCATTGCCAAGAGGATCAATGCAGAGGTACTGAAGAGGTGGAATCTACAAGACTTGGTGACTAACTGACATGTTGTCACTTCAACTGAAGGTAATGGAGAAAAAAATCATGGAAGATCACTTTAGACTACGTTGAGATTTTAGTGTTTGTGAGAAATCTGGGTAAATATGTTGAATTGGCTATTGAAAACACAGGTATGGGGTTCAAGAGAGATTGAGAACCAAGTGCAAATTTGGTATTGTTTGATATATACTGCAAAAATGAAATGAAGCCATGGAAATA
Organism: Homo sapiens; assembly: GCF_000001405.40. NCBI lineage: Eukaryota > Metazoa > Chordata > Mammalia > Primates > Hominidae > Homo > Homo sapiens. The sequence goes on from NC_000012.12 coordinate 44,557,769, forward strand.
AATGAGAGGATGGAATTGTAAAGGGGAGTATTCACGAGAGAAAACAAGACTGAAAAAGAGGAACCAAAGGAAGAAGAGATCCAAGAAAGGGCACCCCGAGCAGTAAAAGTAGAAAAAGGATTTCAACAAAGAGAACTGTCCACAGTTCAAAATGGTTCAGTCAAATGAAAATGGAAGAGAGGACACTGGATGTAGCAATTCACATGGAACATGGGGGAGTACAAATTGAAATAAGCTAAAAAGTGAATGGAACATCAAGAAAATAGAGACGGGAAATACAGATTTCATTTCAAAAAGTTTGCCTATGAAGGAAAGGAGAGGGCTACGTTGGTATTTTGAGAAGAAAACAAAAGCAAGGATTTAAGGAATTACTTAAGGTAATGAAACTTGAATATGTTTACAGGTTGAGGAAATGGGACCAGTAAAAGGGGAAAGACTGGATGGTACAAAGTACAAAATGGATAATCGATTGAGCTCTAATCCAATTTCACTATTTCTAGCTGCATAAAAAATAGTCCATAAAACAAATTAATTAGTTCTTCTCTGATGTTCAAGACAAAACAAGATAGAAGGTAAAGAATGGAACATCAGGGGCTGGCAAGATGGCCAAATAGGAACAGCTCTGGTCTGCAGCTCTCAGAGAGATAAACGTGGAAGGTGGGTGATTTCTGCATTTCCAACTGAGGTACCTGGCTCATGTTATTGGGACTGGTTAGACAGTGGGTGCAGCCCAGGGAGGGCGAGCCAAAGCCAGGGCTGGTCGGCGGGAGGGGGTGCGTCACCTCATCTGGGAAGTGCAAGGGGTCAGGGAACTCCCTCCCCTCCCTAAGGGAAGCTGTGAGGGACTGTGCCATGAGGAAGGGTGCACTCTAGCCCAGATACTATGCTTTTCCCATGGTCTTAGCAAACCACGGACCAGGAGATTCCTCAGGTGCCTATGACACAAGGGCCCTGGGTTTCAAGCGCAAAACCGAGCGGTTGTTTGGGCAGACACTGAGCTAGCTGCAGGAGGTTTTTTTCATACTCCAGTGGCGACTGGAACACCAGTGAGACAGAACCGTTCACTACCCTGGAAAAGGGGCTGAAGCCAGGGAGCCAAGTGGTCTAGCTCAGCGGATCCCACTCCCATGGAGCCCAGCAAGCTAAGATCCACTATCTTGAAATTCTTGCTGCCAGCACAGCAGTCTGAAGTCTACCTGGGAAGCTCGAGCTTGGTGGGGATAGGGGTGTCCACCATTACTGAAGCTTGAGTAGATGGTTTTCCCGTCATGGTGTAAACAAAGCCAGAATTTCATTATCTAGCCAAACTAAGCTTCATGAGTGAAGGAGAAATAAAATCCTTTACAGACAAGCAAATGCCGAGAGATTTTGTCACTGCCAGGCATGCCTTACAAGAGCTCCTGCAGGAAGCAGTAAACATGGAAAGGAAAAACTGGTACCAGCCACTGCAAAAACATACTAAATTGTAAAGACCATTGACACTATGAAGAAACTGCATCAACTAATGGGCAAAATAACCAGCTAGCATCACAATGACAGCATCAAATTCACACATAACAATATTAACCTTAAATGTAAATAGGTTAAATGCCCCAATTAAAAGACACAGACTAGCAAATTGGATAAAGAGTAAAGATCCATCGGTGTGCTGTATTCAGGAGACCCATCTCACGTGCAAAGACACCCATAGCCTCAACATAAAGGGATGGAGGAATATTTACCAAACAAATGGAAAGCTAAAAACATCAGGGGTTGCAATCCTAGTCTCTGATAAAACCGACTTTAAACCAACAAAGGACAAAAAAGACACAGAAGAGCATTACATAATGGTAAAGGGATGAATGCAACAAGAAGAGCTACCTATCCTAAATATATATGCACCCAATACAGGAGCACCCAGATTCATACAGCAAGTCCTTAGAGACTTACAAAGAGACTTAGACTCCCACACAATAATGGTGGGAGACTTTAACACCTCACCATCAATATTAGACAGATCAATGAGACAGAAAATTCACAAGGATATTCAGGACTTGAACTCAGCTCTGGACCAAGTGGACTTAATAGACATCTACAGAACTGTCCACCCAAATCAACAGAATATACATTCTTCTCATCACCACATCACACTTATTCTAAAATTGACCACATAACTGGAAGTAAAAACTCCTCAGCAAATGCAAAAAATTGGAAATAATAACAAAGAGTCTCTCAGACCACAGTGCAATTACATTAGAACTCAGGATTAAAAAACTCACTCGAAACCACACAACTATATGGAAACTGAACAACATGCTCCAGAGTGACTACTGGGTAAATAATGAAATTAAGGCAGAAATAAAGAAGTTATTTGAAACCAATGAGAACAAAGACATATCATACCAGAATCTCTGGGACACAGCTAAAGCATTGTTGAGACGGAAATTTATAGCACTAAATGCCCACAGGAGAAAGCAGTAAAGATCTAAAATTAACACCCTAACATTACAATTAAAAGAACTAAAGAAGCAAGAGCAAACAAATTCAAAAGCTAGCAGAAGACAAGAAATAATTAAGATCAGAGCAGAACAGAGGAAGATAGAGACATTAAAAACCTTTCAAAAAATGAATGAATCCAGGAGCTGGTTTTTTGAAAAGATAAACAAAATAGATAGACTGCTAGCTAGACTAATAAAGAAGAAAAGAGAGAAGAGTCAAATAGACATAATTAAAAAAATGATAAAGGTGATATCACCACTGATCCCACAGAAATACAAACTACCATCAGAGAATACTATAAACAACTCTATGCAAATAAACTAGAAAATCTAGAAGAAATGGATAAATTCCTGCAAACATACACCCTCCCAAGGCTAAACCAGGAAGAAGTCGAATCCCTGAAAAGACCAATAACAAGGTCTGAAATTGACGTAGTAATTAATAGCCTACCAACCAAAGAAAAGCCCAGGACCAGATGAATTTACAGCCGAATTCTACCAGAGGTATAAAGAGGAGCTGCTATCATTCCTTCTGAAACTAACCAAACAATAGAAAAAGAAGGACTCCTCCCTAAGTCATTTAATGAGGCCAGCATCATCCTGATACCAAAACCTGGCAGAGACACAACAAAAAAAGAAAATTTCAGGCCAATATCCCCAGTGAACCCGGATGCAAAAATCCTCAATAAAACACTGGCAAACCAAATCCAGCAGCACATCAAAAAGCTTATCCACCATGATCAAGTCGGCTTCATCCCTGGGATGCAAGGCTGGTTCAACACATGCAAATCAATAAACATAATCCATCACAAAAACAGAAGCAATGACCAAAACCACATGATTATCTCAATAGATGCAGAAAGGCCTTCAATAAAATTCAGCACCGCTTCATGCTAAATACACTCAATAAACTAGGAATTGATGGAATGTATCTCAAAATAATAAGAGCTATTTATGACAAACCCACAGCCAATATCATACTGAATGGGAAATGTTGGAAGTATTCCCTTCGAAAATGAGCACAAGACAAGAATGCCCTCTCTCACCATTCCTATTCAACATAGTATTGGAAGTTCTGGACAGGGTAATCAGGCAAAAGAAAGCAATAAAGGGTATTCAAATAGGAAGAGAGGAAGTTAAATTGTCTCTGTTTGCAGATGACATGATTTTATATTTTTAAAAACCCCATTGTCTCAGCCTCAACTCTCCTTAAGCTGATAAGCAACTTCAGCAAAGGCTCAGGATACAAAATCAATGTGCCAAAATCACAAGCATTCCTATACACTAATAGACAGCCAAATCATGAGTGAATTCCCATTAACAATTGCTACAAAGAGAATAAAATACATAAGAATACAACTTACATGGGATGTGAAAGACCTCCTCAAGGAGAACTACAAACCACTGCTCAAGGAAATAAGAGAGGACACAAACAAAGGTAAAAACATTCCATGCTCATGGATAGGAAGAATCAATATAGTGAAAATGGCCACACTGCCAAAAGTAATTTATAGATTCAATGCTGTCCCCATGAAGCTGCCATTGACTTTTTTCACAGAATTAGAAAAAATCACTTTAAATTTCATATGGAACCAAAAAAGAGTCTGTATAGCCAAGACAATCCTAAACAAAAAGAACAAAGCTGGAGGCATCAAGCTACCTGAATTCAAACTACAGTACAAGACTACAGTAACCAAAACAGCATGAGACTTGTACCAAAACAGATATATAGACCAATGGAACAGAACAGAGGCCTCAGAAATAACGTCACATATCTGTCAACATTCATTGACAAACTTGACAAAAACAAGCAATGTGGAAAGGACTCCCTATTTAATAAATGGTGCTGGGAAAACTGGCTAGCCATATGCAGAAAACTGAAACTGGACTCCTTCCTTACACCTTATACAAAAATTAACTCAAGATGGATTAAAGACTTAAATGTAAGACCTAAAACTATAAAAACCCTAGAAGAAAACCAAGGCAATACCATTCAGGACATAGGCATGGGCAAAGATTTCATGACTAAAACACCAAAAGTAATGGCAACAAAAGCCAAAATTGACAAATGGGATCTAATTAAACTAAAGAGCTTCTGCACAGCAAAAGAAACTATCATCAGAGTGAACAGGCAGCCTACAGAATGGGAGAAAATCTTTGCAATCTATCCATCTGACAAAGGGCTAATATCCAGAATCTACAAAGAACTTAAACAAATTTACAAGAAAAAAACAAACAACCCCATGAAAAAGTGGGCAAAAGATATGAACAGACACTTCTCAAAAGAAGACATTCGTGTGACCAACAAACATACGAAAAAAAGCTCATCATCACTGGTCATTAGAGAAATGCAAATCAAAACCACAATGAGATACAATTTCACACCAGTTAGAATGGCAATCACTAAAAAGTTAGGAAACAACAGATGCTGGAGAGGATGTGGAGAAATAGAAATGCTTTTACACTGTTGGTGGGAGTGTAAATTAGTTCAACCATTGTGGAAGGCCATGTGGCAATTCCTGAAGGATCTAGAACCAGAAATACCATTTGACCCAGCAATCCCATTACTGGGCATATACCCAAAGGATTATAAATTATTCTACTATAAAGACACATGCACACGTATGTTTATTGCAGCACTGTTCACAATAGCAAAGCTTGGAAGCAACCCAAATGCCCATCAATGATAGACTGGATAAAGAAAATGTGGCACATATATACCACTGAATACTACGCAGCCATAAAAAAGGATGAGTTCCTGTCCTTTGCAGGGACATGGATAAAGCTGGAAACCATCATTCTCAGCAAACTAACACAGGAACAGAAAACAAAACACCACATGTTCTCACTCAGTGGGAGTTGAACAATGAGCACACATGGACACAGGGAGGGGAACATCACACACTGGGGCCTGTCATGGGGATTGGGAGACAGGGGAGGGATAGCATTAGGAGAAATACCTAATGTAGATGACAGGTTGATTGGTGCAGCAAACCACCATGGCACATGTATACCTATGTAACAAACCTGCACATTCTGCCCATGTATCCCAGAACTTAAAGTATAATAAAAAAAAATTAAAAAAAAAGAATGGAACATCAGAAGGGAGAAAGAAATTATAGGTGATTTTTTTTCTTTTTCTCTTGCCTTTGCCACCAGCAAAATTCTAAATCCTGAATTTGAAGCTCTGCTTTAAAAGTGATATATTATTTAAAAATGCACACAAGTATACTAATACTAATCCTAGTAAGTCATCATTCATCCATAGTTTTTTGGGGAAAGGGTGGCACCGCTTAGCTAAAGAGTGAGTCTAATTAAGTAGATCATCATATATGCCAGGACACATTTGTGAGTAATTACAAGATAAGAAACCCATTAGCTCTTAAAACTATGTTGAACATAACTCAATCTTTCTTTACTGATTTGAAAGAATCTTCTAGTGCCCTGGGGCCATCATTATAAATATTAATTCTCATTGAAAATACGGAACTGTCAGTTCGTTGATACTTTCTAGTAGAAATAGCCTTTTCTAATTTTAGACTTGTTAAATAAATTGACAGATAGGTTTGAAGAAAGAAAAGGTTAATGCCGCAGATATTACAAATGCAGAGAATTACCAGTTTGCTTCTGGTCCCTAAAATTCTATGACTATTTCCAGCTGAAAACGTCCACCATGGTTATCAGAAATCTTATTTTAGTAAGTTTACTGCAGGTCAATAATATAGCATATATTGATATAATCCTAAGGCAACTATTTTGGAAAAGTACATAAATAGGATGATAACACATTTCCATGGTTAAATGAATGACTTTGTGATAATATATGATGGAACATTTCCCTTTTCATATTTATCCAGCTGTATAATTTCAGTGATGAAAGGATATGACAGTTGACTTACCAATTCAAACTAAACATTTTACCTATAGTTTTTAGTGAGTTAAACGACAAATTCAGGTCAGTAGGGGAATGCTATTAATATATTTGGGTGAATTGCACCTACAGAAGAAAGTACTAGAAAGCAAAATGCATGGTTTATTTTGTAATGGGGCAGCATTTGAGGAGATTCTTTATTGAGGATAAATACACAGAATAGAAATATTGAATATGAGTTATAATTTCCATTATCAAAGGGAAAGCGAAACGGTATAAATACTGTAATAGTCTTCAGGGCTGACTATTTCTGTTTTCAGTATTTATATAGTATCCTCAAGAAAGTGTAGCATTTGACTATGAAATCATGCGTGTGAAAGCACATTGTGGGATATTTGCAGCATGCTAGGCACTAGGCTAGGCCCTGAGGGCATAAAGATACAGTTGTGCCCTATTAGACTCACATCTAATAAAACAAGCACACACACACACATACAAACATGTAATGCATATGTGTGTGTATAAAATTGCCTGTGAGGACTGCCTGAAGGAAATACAGCTTATTAGGAATCTATTCATTTATTATTTTAGATACAAGGAGTACATCTAGGTTGTGTTATTTTGGTTTTCCTAAAACCATGTTAAGATATATTTTCAGATTATGGTCTCACTTTTTCTTTCATTACACACTACACGAAGACAGCCTGCAAATATAATTCCTGTGCATTTGCTATGAAATGAGGGCCTTATTGGTATATCCCCTCTATCAACCCATGCACATTTGGAAGCTCCGCTTGAGAGTTAAACATTGAAAACAGCACTGTATATCCCTTACAGCAGTGGTTCTCACAGTGTGGACCCCCTGAATCAGAATCCTCTGAGGATGCCTTACAAAAATGGATATTTTTAATCTTTTTCCTAGACCTATGAAATCAGAATCCCAGGTAATGGAGTCTGATAATCTGTCTTTTCACATACTCCCCAGGTGATCTGTGTGTGCCTTAAAGTTTGAAAGCTGATGCACTAAGAAGCCAAGAATGTTCTACCTTAGAACATTCTTCCTCAGATCTGTGAAGCATATTCTCCTCCTTTTAGTTTTGGCCTTCAAGAGACTTAGTATCAAATTTGATGCTCAACTCTAACAACGATCATATTTTATCTAATCTTACTAATTCACTCATTGTAAGTTGCACATAATAACGATTATATGTATCACTAAAAATGCTGCCAATTAAACAATGACATCATCATTAGACACTTTCTGATTTTTGGAATGTTAAAATGTGAAATACGTGCATCTTAGAATTGATGGAGGATGGTCTACAGACTGCTATCCTTGTATTGTAACTCTTGTGTGACAGGATTATCAAAATAAAAATAAAGTTTCGAGAGACGAACACAAGTTTGCTAGAAAATCTGTGAGAGGGAGAGCACTTTTAGATTGAGGGAAGAGCAAGTGCAAAGTCCCAGGAGACATGAAACTCACATGCTTAGTCTAGAGAGTGTACTAAAGTCAGAATGCTTGAGTTCCAATGTCTGCCTTGACGCTTACCAACTGAATGATATTGGAATAACCTAATTTTAAATGTCTCTGGGCATAGGGTTGTAAGACTTAAATATCATAATACAAATAGAATGCTGAATACATTACCCAACAATTCTCAGTTACAGATTATAATGATGATTATTGTGAAAGGGAACAGTCTAGTGGGGAAGGAATGGGAAACGAGAGAAGATGAAGCTGGAGTGGCAAGTGGGAGTAGGATTTTGAGGATTGCACATTCCTAAGAAGCTTAGACTTTATCTCCTAATAGGGAATCACTGGAAGCAGGATAGTGATTGGTCTCCTCTGAATTTGAAACCAATTACTCTAGTGTCAGTTTGGACAATGAATTCGAAGTCAGGGACCATAAAGACAGGGAAAGGAAACTTAGGAGCCTCTGGCAATAGTTCAGATGAGGGATGATAAGAATGGTTGCAGTCAAGATGAAGAGTGGGAAAGACTTCCTGGAGAGATTCAAAAGCTAGTTTGAATTACAAAGTAATTCAAAATTACATAACTCAATGGCAAATGTGATGTAGTGAGTGAGTGATCAGGAGATGTAAAAGATATTTCCAAGATTTTTTAGTGTACTGAATTATTTTTAGAGAGTAGATGCCTATTGTAGAGATTACAGCAGCCTTTGCCCTTAAGAAAATTAAAAATGAAAACGGAAAACCTCAGAAGTCGCCATATAATTAGCATTCACCTATACCTCTAAATAAAGGGAAGACAAACTCAGGGAGAAGAAATGGCATAGACAGTAGGTTAATATTATCAGGAATGGATGAAGTTAATCAGGAAAATAAAACAAGATATTAATCACAAAGTTCATATGTGCTTTTTTGCATCTACACTAGTAGATATTACACATACTCACACACACACACACACACACACACACACACACAGAGTTTTATGAATAGCAATAGGAGCTACAATAATTTGACCTATATTTACAGCTGGGGGCTGACCTGTAGCTGTAATCAGAAAATCTGAGTTCAAATCTCGGCAATGGCCATTTAATGACTGTGGTCTAAGACAAATTTGCTAACTTTGCTGACAGAGTTTCATCATCTATACAAACAAGAACAATTATATCTACTTTACAATACTTCTGTAAAAGCATTTTGAAAATTATGAAGTACTCTATTTACTATATGCATTTTTTTTTTTTTAGATGGAGTCTCTGTCGCCCAGGCTGCAGTGCAATGGCATGATCTTGGCTCACTGAAACATCCACCTCTCGGGTTCAAGCGATTCTCCTGCCTCAGGCTCCTTAGTAGCTGGGATTACAAACGTGCACCACCAGGCCCGGCTAATTTTTGTATTTTCAGTAGAGATGGGGTTTCACCATGTTGGTCAGGCTGGTCTCGAACTCCTGACCTTGTGATCCACCTGCCTTGGCATCCCAAAATGCTGGGATTACAGGCGTGAGCCACTGCGTCTGGCCTACTATATGCATTTTTATCTGATAGGAGTTTTACACCTTTAGTGAAACACAAAAACTCTATACGTTTTCATGAATCAGGATAAAAAGTACTTAAATCATTTTTAGTTTTAAAATGTAACTCCATCCTCATTTCTCAATACTATTTCCTTTTAAAAATACATTTTAATATCTTTCTATTGGTTTTTAGATACCTCAGCCAATGAGATGCAATGCTAATGGAATTCTCCTGTAAAAACTATGATCAAATAGAAAGGAGATACATATACTTAACCTAGTTTAGGATCAGACTCTGATTTGAAAAATCAAGACCTAAAAAAATTGTTCTTGAAATAGAAATCAGAGTTGAATGACCTCAGTGCTACAGTAAATTTGGAATTACTCTAAGTAATCCTATGGTAATGAGAAAATGAAAAACAGAGGACACACTACTAAAAGAAAGGCTAAAACAAGGGAACAAGGGAATGATGACTTAAGCATGTACTGAAATATAGCCTAGAAATATGGAGGAAAAAAATAAAGAGGACACAGGCATTCTATTATATGACACTATTCATATTACTTTTGTCCTTAAGTTTTCTTTTGCTTAATTTGCTACCCTAAACCAGAATGGAGATCCTGGCATTCACCTCATATCATTACCTTAGGTATAGAAATGTATTTCCTGGCATAACTAAGCTACATACGATTGCCCTGATCAGACAATCATCTTACAATAATCTTGTACATATTCCTTCCCTTTATAGATGAGGACTTTTCCCCAATCTGTAGGCATTTGATAAGGAAAGTGGGGAATGTTGGTAAAATATATTTATATTTGGGAATTTTTAAAGTTGAAAGGGGTATACAGGTAAACAGAAATACTATACATAGACACAACCTATAAAATCACACTAATCAAAAAATAACTAATTGAAGACTTGAATATTAAATATTTATAAAAGTAAAACAGAAAAATATGTTGGGTGTAGTTGGTCTGATTAGCAAGCCTAAAATCATTAAAAGACTTGCAGATGAGACAAAGGTTGAAAAAAAGGGACTTGATTTAAGATTGTAAAAGAAATGACACTCTATGGTTTGGTGGCAGGAAACGTAGCTAAGTTTGTGTAAAGGAAAAGTTCAAACCCAGCAGAGTATCACAATTTCATGAAAGAGTGCAGAATCACATAATCACATAGTGAGAACCAACCTTAAGTAATGTGTTTCCAAATTATACTACTTAATGACAAAAACTCTGTATTCGTTTTTATATAATTAGGCTATTCCCATATTGAGATACATTCAGACAATTTTGATTTTAGATCTGATATCATGAAGATGAAGCACAACAGTGAGAGTGTGGAAGCATAAAATCCTTTGAATTTGACTCATCTAGAGATGGTATTACATTCTATATTTTTACAGTTTATCATATCATCACTATAATGTTTAAAAGATAATAACTTAGAAAGGCAAACTGATTCTTAAAGGCCAGAATTTGAGGGATATGTATATAATAATAATAACATAACCAGAAATTAATGAAATTGTTTCTGACATATGAATCCTGATAGAATTCACTTTTATGAGATTAGACTGCCACAGGCTCATTTGTGATTCTGAAATATAGTATGTATATGTGTACATACATATTTTATATATATATACATTACACATATACATTATATATGCTTTATATATACACATACATATATAGCATGCTGTAATATAGTTAGGCTTTTAAATTAGAAAGCAATATGTACAAAATGCCTAGCATGATGAACTACTTTCTTTTTTTTAAACTTTCATTTTAAGTTCAGGGGTGTATGTGCAGGTTTGTTACACAGGTAAACTTGTGTCATGGGATTTTCTTGTACAGATTATTTCATCACCCAGGTATTAAGCCTAGTACTCATTAGTTATTTTTCCTGACCTTCTCCCTACTCCCACCTTCCACCTTCCAATAGGCCCCAGTGTCTGTTGTTTTCCTCTACGTGTCAATGTCTTCTCATCATTTAGCTTCCACTTATAAGTGAGAACAAGTGGTATTTGGTTTTCTGTTACTGCATTAGTTTGCTAACAATAATGGCCTCCAGCTCCATTAATATTCCTGCAGAGGACATGATCTCATTCTTTTTTATGGCGGCATAGTGTTCTATAATATATATGTACCACATTTTCCTTATGCAGTCTACCATTAATGAGTATTTAGGTTGATTCCATGTTTTCACTATTGTAAATAGTGCTGCGATTAACATATGCATGCAGGTGTCTTTACAATAGTACAATTTACACTCCTTTGGATATATGCCCAATAATGAGATTGCTGGGTCAAATGCTATTTCTGTTTTTGGGTCTTTGAGGAATTGCCACACTGCTTGCCACAATGGTTGAACTAATTTACACTTCCACCAACAATGTATAAACGATGAACTATTTCCTTTAACTAAACTAATCATTACCAAATAAGTGAAAATAGTTTTAGTTTATAAATGGCTCTGTTTTAGACCTCTTTAAAGATTTTAAAAGTTAAGCGTAGACTTCAGTTTTATAAAGCATGAACACTATGTCCAAATGCTGTTAGGCCTTGGCACCCAGAAATAATATGAAGCAACTGAAATACTTATTAAGATATTAAAAGCATTTTGAATATTAACTACATTTTGATCTATGAATTTTTTTTATGAGAAGATATCTATTATATTCAGAGAGGTCTTTGATTATCACTATACTATATAGTACTATCTAACTCAAAAACATTTTTCTCTTTAAAAAGAATAAGGACTGGGAAATTAGCTACAATTTCCAGCCAGGGATTTAAAGGCTAATTTCAAGGCACTTCAACAGGTTGAGTTAACACAGCAGATAAGTTCTTCTCTATAAATTTCCTACTGACATGTTTCGTGATACAACAAGCCTCATCTGAAAAGCAGGTAACTTTTTCTTCTTTTATCTGAGCAGAAGCATGATTGCATTTTTTAAAAGTACCCTGTCTATGGAAAACCAATTTAGTTTCATTAATGAAAAGGAAGCACAATGTGATTGAGAATGTAATACGGAATTATAGTTCATTAATTCTTCAAGTATGTAATTTTCCAGGCTCCTGATCCCCCATTGATTTCTGCACACCCCCACAGGTCCCACTAAATGTGAGCAAAAGGAAATTTAATCGTGTTGCTATGTCATGTGTGGCGATGCTGGTGCTCCACAATTAGGCAGAAACATTGTGAGAGGGATTTTTCCAGTGACTGCTCCACCATGTAGCCCTGTTAACATTTCTTTGTTGTCAAAAATTGATCAATCACAGACCCACAGACAAATGGGACTGTGACAGTCTCCTATTACGTGGCCAGTTTCATTAAAGGAGATGACACTTGCAACAATCGAAGCCGATAATTCAGTACACTTAATTAAGCATGATAAATTGGATGTATGCATCAATCCTTTTTTAAAAAAACTTGTTTGGATTTTCCTATTAGTATCATTGCCATGGAATATGTCAATGCCCATTAAAATATAAAACTCAAAATTTTACACTAATTAATAGAACACAATTACAATTTGGGGTGTTGGCTCAAAGACTTATATCCTGATTTTCTGGTTTTTATAAGGGTTATCTTTTTAAAAAATATAATATAATACTCTGTTCATCTCTCTGCTAACTTGTCCTTGAAACTTAAATCGCTTTATTTGCCACATCTCAGACTTGGGCAAAATTATCGCCATGAATATGGTGTCAATTAGTGAATGCCAGTAAATGTGGTCTGAAGAATTGAACAGAAATGCATTATGTCTAAACCAAATTTAGCAAAATGTTGTATGGTACTGCTTTCTTGCCTTGTAAAGACAGCTAATATTTCAAGACGGCTATGGAAGCTGCACTGACAAACCTATTGGGGTTCTTCTATAAGGAATCAAGGTCAGAACAACCCTATTGTGCTTTGTTAATAGGCTCGAAGCACAGCACATACTTTATATACTAAGAGAAAAAAGGCAGGTAGAATCTTATAAAGAAGTTCTTAAAACAGCTGTGTGAACAAAAGCCATCTTAGCAGTGAGAGGAAAATCTACCATGGAGGTCAGTCTTTAAACAGCCCTTATAACCATTTCCTCTCTATAGATGGTAGAGTAGTAAATGGGGCAATCGTTAAAGAGTTTCAGCTTTTATTCTCCCCTCTTTATATATTTTTATGCATAGTAGTGCCTTCTTGGCTTAGCAGAGTGTGAATGGTTCTGTCACCCAGAGCACACAATTCAGGCATGAGTCAGCAATTAGCCTGCACTAATATACTGTCTCAGCTCTCAGGTCTGCAATGACTGGGTTGAAATGGTATATGGTGAAAGTTGAGAATGCTTATTAAGAATCCAGTAAAGCAATTACTTATTTTTTCACAGGTTTATTGTCCATCTACCTCATTCTAAAGTAAAGCTCTGTCTGGGAAGTGATGTTATCTTGTTCATTAGGGAGTCTCCAGTCTTCAGAAGAGTTCTTGCCACATCGTAGGCATCCAATATAAATTGATCAAATGAATGAATTAATTTTATGCCCAATGCTGATATTTCATATTTGGTAAATACCTTTATTGAAACACCAAAATGAGTTTTGAAGCATTTCAGCATCATATGTGCAATATGAGAAGTTGTTACCCTTAGACATAGATATTTTTTCTTGGGGTCCCATGACGATAAGATAAATAAACTGCACAATAATTTGACTATAGAACTTCATTTCTCTTGATTCAGTTCTAAAACAGCTTCTAAGTTTTCAACTTTATTTAGTAGGAACTCTGGATCAATATTAACCATAAGAATTTTATACTCAGGGTATGTAGATTACAGCCACCCATGTATACAATAAGCACAATAAGCAAACAAACAAAAAAGAAAATGAGGAGAGCAGAGAAATCATAGCAAAACGTGCATAGCTCAAAAAAGAAAAAAAGGACTCTTTCTTTCTTTCTCTCTCTCTCTCCTTTGAAAGAAATTCTATTATTCCATGGCCCATCATTACATTTTATTTATAAACAATATTTTTAAGACTAAATTATTCAAATGTTATTTATTTGTTTATTTTTAGACAAGGCCTCACTCTGTTGCCCAGGCTGGATTGCAGTAGTATGATCACAGCTCATTATAGCCTTGACCTCCTGTGTCCAAGCGATTCTTCTGCCTCAGTCTTTTGGGTAGCTGGGACTACATGTGTGCACTACCATGCCCAGTTAATTAAAAAAAAATTTTTTTTTCTGTAGTGATGGGATCTCCCTATGTTGCAGAGACTGGTCTCAAACTCCTGGGCTCAAGCTTTCCTCCCACCTTGGTCTCCCAAAGCACTGGGATTACAATGTGAGCTACTGTGCCTGGTCTGCTCTTTTTGATAATAATAATTTTGATTTTCTTAAAAAAATGTGATGAGCAGAAACTCAGCTAATTAGGCAAATTAGGAAACATACTAGGAATTTATTTTAGCTTTCATATTCACTCATTTTAACATATTTTCTGGACAACAGTGTTTCAATGTTACTTGATTTTGAATCTGTTTGTATACAGGTAAATGGAAAAAGCTAGAGAATATAAATATATAAGGAAAATGGGAGATTTAGTTTAGACGGTAGAATGAACAACAGCACATATTCTAGCAAAAACATCAAAATCACCACCATCAATTAAATGAGTATGATGCAATGGCTTAAAGAAAGAAACCTAAGTTTCCTCAGCAACTTGCAGATATGTGACATGGCTAAGAAGCCACACTGGAGACTAGAGAGATTCTGAAATTTATCAGCAATACTGCCAGATTTGTCAAGAGATCTAACTGGGAATTCTCTTTTAATTAAGGAGTGGTAGAAGCAGCACTGGGAAAAAGCTGAAGAAACAGAGGCATGCACAGCAGGGCTGATACTGGAAGAGAAGAGAACGTGCAGTCAGAGGGCTGACCCAAAGGCTGAGGTGAACTTCTACAGGAATGGAAATGTTCTCCAATAATATGGATTGAGCTCTCACACCAAACATTTGATGAAATCTTAGAAATGAGAGCATAGCCCAGATATTACAAGACGGTCCATCAGCTGAGTTCTGCTCTCAGCCCATTAGGCTCTCAAGCCATAGGAAATTATGGATAGAACACAAAATGCCTCATCTTCAAACCACAACTGTGGAGGGTACAACAAACAGTTTTGAGATAGGGCAGAAAGAAGCCAAGGAGAAAATCTGGACCAAACTGCCCAAGTGTGAGTAAAATAGAAGGAAAATGAATGGAATTGATGACTGAAAACAATAGAAGACAATCAAAATCGTAGCACAGAAAGAAAATATCCAGCCTAGGAGAAAGTGTAACTCCAAAACAAAGAAATGTACCACAAGCACTTAATAGGAAGATATCAATTAAATAATGAATACCCAGGGATGAGATAATTTTTGAAAAGCAACAAAAAACCCACTAATAAATAGAAAATCACAGGCCTAAAGGCAATAAATTTGAAGACCAAAACATCTTCACTGAAGGAAAGTAGAAACAGCAAAGAACAGAATATATTCTTAAAATAAAGTTTCCAACTTAAAAGGAAGACTTGTGATAGTCACAGAATATATGGTTGGAAAGGAAAAGATTTAAGTGATTAGAATGAAACTAATAGATATGGAGAACAGGCAAAAATAATTCAGTTAAGGGTAACTGAGGTCCCTGAAATAGAGACCTTAATAAATGCAAGAGGAAACATTTAAGAAGTATTTAATATGAGAATTCCTCACAACGCAGAAAGATTTTAACTGTACACAGGGAGACTATACCAGTTTCTAGGAGATTGCTCAACATGGAGACGTTCTGCACTCAGTTTGGCATGGCTGGCATCTTGGGAGCATTCCTGTCTTGGATTAGGTGTTACCCACTAAGAGAGTTCTTGGACCATGCAATCCAATAACCTCCCTAGTTGTTTTCTTTCATATCATTAAGGGTTTTTGCTTGTTTGTTATTTTTTATTTTATTTTTATTTTTTTTTTGAGATGGAGTCTCGTTCTGTTGCCCAGGCTGGATTGTAGTGGTGTGATCTCAGATCACTGCAACCTCTGTCTCTTGGGTTCAAGTGATCTCGGCTCACTGCAACCTCCAGCCCCCTGGGTTTAAGTGAACCTGCCTCAGTCTCCCGAGTAGCTGGGATTACAGGCGTGCGCCACAACGCCTGGCTATGTTCTGTTTTATTTTTATTATATGTTCACCATCTGAAAAATCTGTACAAATTATAATTACAAAAAGAGTTGAAATTTTATAAAATTTGAAAATGTATAAAATAAAAATGAACAAAAATCTGGTGGGGTAATATGTTCATCTTTGACATCAAGGACTTTATTAATATTGTCTTAAATTTAAAAATGCAGTGAAAATATCTATAACCCACTTAATATTTTCAATAATCTTTGTCTTTTCTAACTTAAAGGAATGTTTAAAAATAATACAATTTGTGATTTTAAAAAACCCACTAAACACCTTGTATGCCACATTAAATGGAGTTTGGAGTGATAAAGCAAAAAAAAAGAAACCCACTTAGTCTTATTTTGTGCCAATATAAGATGATATTTATAGCAATATTACAAATTTGTAAATCAACATGAAGCAAAAATACCATTTGAATTAAGAGTTGCTAGTGCTTCAGAGATTTGGCACATATGTTATTTCTGCCAAGAATATTCTGGCCTCAAATATTTGCATGGCTTGCTCTCTTATCTTTGTTAGGTATTTATGATGTTACTGACTCATTGAGGCCTTCTTGAGATGTCTAAAATCACAACCTCAAATGCATCTATACTTGACATTCCCTGTTTCTCTGCTTTACTTTCCTCCTTAAGACAAAACTATTTTTTATAGGATTCATACTATTCTCTAGTATTAATTTAGTATAAATTATAGAATGCATCCTGTTTGCTGTATGTGTCTCATCTAACATACATGTATTTTACTTACACATCTTGTGTATGGTTTGCCTTTCTTCCCTTACAGCATAAGCTCCACATGGGCAGGAATTCTCATCTGTTTTCTTCACTATTGTCCTCAGTGTCTAGAACAGGGCCTTTCACATAGTAGTCAGTAAAGCAAATACTTGTTTAATAAATGAATGACTCAAAAATAAATAGAAATTCGTGAGCACAATGGAACACCATTCTATTAGCTGCTATACTTAATCCCTTTTTAACTTACTTAAAACTTGAGAGATACAAGTAAATAGATATAACATAATAATTGAAGTTTGAGGATTTATTTTTCAATCAGGTATGTGCAGGCAGATATTTCTACAAACTCCTGGCAGCTTTGGTTCTCAGAGGCTTGGAAGCATTTACACTTCTTGATTTGCTGTATCTTTGCTGCAAAGCACTCACATCTGCCTCTACCTAGCATCAGAGAGATATGGAGCCAAAATAATTTATAATAAAATATTATAAGATGAAGTCTCAGTCTTTGGTCTTGCCTTTTGGGTGTCCAGTTGACTCTAAAGCAACTGCATTTTGCTGGATTAATGCAGTGAAACTGTAGGGGATGTGGAAATGTGAACTTATTTTGACAGAGCACCACTATTTTCTAGGCATGCTTTCGATAATACATATAAAGCACTGAGCATAGGGTTTGCTATACAGCTACAGTTCAATACATTTTCATGTATCTTCATTATTATCACAGTTCCAGTCATCTCTCACATTGAATAGACCTTCTGATTTTTCTTCTCACTCCCACTTTGATGCTCTTCCAATATCTTCTCCACATTCATGCCAAAGTGATCTTTGAGTAACTCAAATCTGACCATACTTAAAATATTGACTAGCTTCTCTTTGGCTGGAGGGTGAAGACCAAAATGTTAATGACCTACAAGCCATCATAGTTTGACCCCTACCTGCCTCTAAAACCTCATAATATACCAGGCTTTCCTGGCCTCTGTGCTCCAGGCACATTGGTCCTCTTTCCGTTCCTCAAATGTGCCATGCTGTCCCCATCACAGGCTCTTTGCACATGCTGTTTTCTCTGAGAACACTCTTCCCCTCTACTTCACCAACAAATCTTCCGCTTCCTTTAGATCTCAATTCAAACCAATGACCTCAGTAAAGCATTCAGGCATCCCTGAGTAGATCAAATCCCCCATCCCACTCCCCACGCACAACGTGGATGGCCACTTTCGTAGTTGTGCAATGCAGCAGCTCTGACTTCTCTGTAAGATTTCGCAGTCATATCTGCAAATTATCAGTGGGATCCTTTGATTAGGTCTCTTTCCTCACTAAACCATGAGCTCCTTGAGGGCAAGTGGTGAGTCTTTTCCACGATTAAATCACAGGGTCTTCCCAGTGCCTGTCCTAATAAGCAGGCTTGTGTTGAATAATTATCATCATGATCACTATCCCCATCAACATCATCATTATTACCATCTCATTCCTGGGGAGACATCTATCTTATGATGTACCCCTAGAGCCTACCTTCTCTTTTTTTTTTTTCTTTTATTATTATACTTTAAGTTTTAGGGTACATGTGCATATTGTGCAGGTTAGTTACATATGTATACATGTGCCATGCTGGTGCGCTGCACCCACTAACTTGTCATCTAGCATTAGGTATATCTCCCAATGCTATTCCTCCCCCCACCACCCCACAACAGTCCCCAGAGTGTGATGTTCCCCTTCCTGTGTCCATGTGACCTCATTGTTCAATTCCCACCTGTGAGTGAGAATATGCGGTGTTTGGTTTTTTGTTCTTGCGATAGTTTACTGAGAATGATGATTTCCAATTTCATCCACGTCCCTACAAAGGACATGAACTCATCATTTTTTATGGCTGCATAGTATTCCATGGTGTATATGTGCCACATTTTCTTAATCCAGTCTATCATTGTTGGACATTTGGGTTGGTTCCAAGTCTTTGCTATTGTGAATAGTGCCGCAATAAACATACGTGTGCATGTGTCTTTATAGCAGCATGATTTATAGTCCTTTGGGTATATACCCAGTAATGGGATGGCTGGGTCAAATGCTATTTCTAGTTCTAGATCCCTGAGGAATCGCCACACTGACTTCCACAATGGTTGAACTAGTTTACAGTCCCACCAACAGTGTAAAAGTGTTCCTATTTCTCCACATCCTCTCCAGCACCTGTTGTTTCCTGACTTTTTAATGATTGCCATTCTAACTGGTGTGAGATGGTATCTCATTGTGGTTTTGATTTGCATTTCTCTGATGGCCAGTGATGATGAGCATTTTTTCATGTGTTTTTTGGCTGCATAAATGTCTTCTTTTGAGAAGTGTCTGTTCATGTCCTTTGCCCACTTTTTGATGGGGTTGTTTGTTTTTTTCTTGTAAATTTGTTTGAGTTCATTGTAGATTCTGGATATTAGCCCTTTGTCAGATGAGTAGTTTTTTTTTTTTTTTTTTTTTTTTTTTGAGATGGAGTCTTGCTCTGTCTCCCAGGCTGGAGTGCAGTGGCACGATGATCTCGGCTCACTGCAAGCCCCGCCTCCCGGGTTCACACCATTCTCCTGCCTCAGCCTCCCGAGTAGCTGGGAATACAGGCGCCACCACCATGCCCGGCTAATTTTTTGTATTTTTTTAGTAGAGATGGGGTTTCACCATGTTAGCCAGGATGGTCTCGATCTCCTGACCTCGTGATCCGCCCACCTCGGCCTCCCAGAGTGCTAGGATTACAGGCATGAGTCACTGCACCTGGCCGAGCCTGCCTTCTCTTAAAACTAGCTCCAACGGAACTAGCAGACCTTGATCGTTGCATTTATATAATAGTAATTGCCCTGACTCTTAACATGTGGCCCGATCAATTCTAACTTGCATTTTTGAATTCTGCCTAGATTACACCAAGTGGAGGTAATTTCTATCCTTTGAACCTTTTGAAGTCCTCACATGCTATAGTAATTTGTGTATTTTCAATTCCTTCTACTGAAATTTAAATTCCTTAGAGGTAAGAGCTGGCCCGTACTTATCTTTGAATACTCTGTAGTACCAAACGTTATCCCTTAAATGTAGTTCAGTAAGTATCTATTGAAGTAAATGGTTGTTTTAACTCAATTTCTCTCTGATTCTGTTTGAGTCTGTTCTTAATCCCTCTACTTCTGTGTTTTAACAATTATTTTTTTTTTTACTAACTTTCTTCAAGGAGCTACACCTTTCCATTTTGTAAACATCTTAAACATAATAAGATCTTTAAAATACAGGATACCAAAATGTTAAATATATACAAACAAAACATATACTTAAATATATAGAAACAAAAAACCCCTCATCCTATCACAGAGTACTTCAAGTTTAAGTAAAACGATAGAAATCTTCAATTCTGAAAAGAAATTGAAAGTAAAGTAATTGATCAAGATAGGAAAAAAAAAGGCCTAAGGCTATGAAAATAGAGTTAAGAGAAATAGGAAAATGCCTTGAAAGCAATGAGAGTACCACAATAAAATTGTATGAAGGCTGTTCCACAGTCTTCCTTCTAGGCCTTGCTTAGAGATGTGTATCTTTAATTAAAATCTATACTTTGCATACTCCTCAAATCTATACCTTGCAAATATAGCCTTTTTTTTTTTTTGTGGCAACAAAAAACTCCAGGAGAGAGTAATGTGTGCCAGGGACTGGGCAAGAGATCCACCCAGCAACAAAGTCAAAAAGAAAAATTTGGAGAGTTTTTAACATCCAACAAAATGGTGCATATAGGTTTTCTTGAAGAAACAGACTTATTCCATGGTTTGAATTGTAAGAGTAGTTTATAAGGGAAATGTCTTAAGGTGATGGTCAATAATTTATTACTGTTTTGCAAAGAAACAGAAAAAGCCTTCAAAAGCCTACTTTCTCTGTCTCTCTTAGGTTCAATCACAACTTAGTTTTTTTCTCAAAGGCATTTCTCAGGGGCATTCTTTTGTTTGTTTGTTTGTTTTGCATTACTTTATTCAATTCAGGTTTGGAGCTCAGAGAACCCAGAGGAATGGATTTTGATATGTCCTTTTCATTTTTACTCTCTAAAAACATCAGAGATTTTAAGCCACCTTTTGATAGGTGCTGGATCAAAGTTACTTCCAATTTTAATTTTCTGATTTGTCCCTGAATTGTTGTCATTTTGATTTGTTTATTAGGAGAGCATGCATCACTTTAGATTCAAACACATGGGCAACCAAGTCTACATGTTTTTGTAAAAAATCAGAGTTTGGATTAGCTCACAGAAGTAACATACTCTTGCAGGTATACCAGGGGGCTAATTATAGGTGAGATCAGATTATGTTCCCCCAAATCAGTTTTGAATCTGTTCAAAGGCATGGACAAATACTTAGACCCCAGTTTGCTGTGCCAACAGGCATATAGATAACGATTTTGTTCTGAAACAAGTGTAACACTTGTTAGCACCTTGGCCTTACATCTGTCCATTAAGAACCTTCGAGACAGTGGAAGTAGACTGATTTTGAGTGGAACCATATTCTGACAGGTCCTATAAGATGTTGACTCTAAAATTTATATTCCCAGCTTTTCATATGGCTTACCACATAAAACAAATTTACTACTGCCGCCTTAAAACAGAAGAATGCCTACTAAATATGACTTTAGTTTTAATACCAAGAAACACAGTTTAACTGTGTCAAATACAGTTAAACTGTTTTCTCACTGTATTAAATCAATAGGGTCAGTTATTTTTAAAGACACATTTGGCATTAGAATATGAGACTTTAATTCCTTGTTCTGACACCTTCTGGTTGTGTGAGACTAGAAAAAAAATCTGTTAATGCCTTTATTACCTCAATTACCTCATCTCTAAGATGTGGAATATCTGTCATACATATTTCAATGGCTTTCTGAGAGAGTGCATCAAATGACATAATGTATTCTGTAGCTCTATGAAACTGTTAAACCATATTCAAATATTCATAACAAATTATTTTATGGGTTTTTATATACATTATTTAACTATCCAGAAAGCTTTCTGAAAGCAAAAAATACGTGTTTCAGAATTTTTCTTGGGATGGCTAAACTGTTTTTTAAAATGTGCTGCAATGATATGTGTTTAGAGAGAAAATCTCTCCAAAGGTCTACTTGATTGGACTTTGTACCCACTTCATTTTAAGATTAACTTGTAGTAGAGACTCCTACTCTGGTATAACCTTCTTAACTGTGTAATGTCATTTTTCTGTTATGGGTTCATCAGAATAGGGGATAGTTATGTGGAAGATTCACATTGATTCAAGGGAAAAAATGGTGTCTGTTGAGATTAAGTTGAGAGTAAGGAGCAGCCCGCTACCCTCACTGCCTTGTCTCACAGATCTGTGAGCTCTCACAGAAAAGCATCACAGAAGTGACACAAAGTAAGTGCTCAGAAGTAGGACAGATGTCATTCCAGCTGGGTGCGGTGGCTTACGCCTGTAATCCCAGCACTTTGGGAGGCCGAGGTGGGCAGATTGCCTGAGCTCGGGAGTTCGAAACCAGCCTGGGCAACATGGAGAAAGCCCATCTCTAATAAAAATACAAAAAATTAGTGTGGTGGTGGGCACCTGTAATCCCAGCTACTCGGGAGGCTGAGGCAGAAGAATCGCTAGAACCCAGGAGGCAGAGGTTGCAGTGAGCCAAAATCGCGCTACTGCACTCTAGCCTGGGTGACAGAGAAAGACTCTGTCTCAAAGAAACAAACAAACAAAAAACTCATAATGCATGAATTTGCTGAATTTCTGGAAAATGGCTTTAAGTTCGAAAAATCACTAAAAGGAAGCCTCAGGGTATTTTATTATTTGTGAGCTGTACATTTCAGCTCATTTTATATAACAAATGCCTATTTCTCAAATGCAGTTGGAAGGATATAGAGCTTCAGTTTGAATTTAAATTACTGCAATATTTTAAAATCAGTATAGAAAATAATATGATTGCAAAATAGTCAATAAAGTAAAACATGTTACCTTCATTTTGAGACGAACTTTTTTAAAAATGTAATATTTGCATGGGACAATTTACATTTCCACTTCCTAAATGATTCAGTCACTTATGAAAGTGATTCCATATCTATTTTAGGTGATTTCCACATGCATATAATTTCAGGCCTTTCAGTGAATAAATAAAACTTTCTAGTAGTTTTAAAGTCTATACTTAAAGCCATCAGTTTTTACTTACCAATGTGCCACTAATTGGACGGCTACTTTTGTGTATGTAAGTTTTAATTATAGGAAAAGTAGTCAGAGCTCTACATCTTAAAGATACTTAATTTAAAAGAAAAAAGATTTTTTTAAAATCTTTTACAATCTACACTGCCCACT